>NC_000006.12:96131396-96282911 GCF_000001405.40 Homo sapiens
AATGCAGTTATCCAGACTACAAATGTAGTGTTGTCATACTCCTCCAAACACACACATACACACGAACACACACACCTTTGTTTCAAATCGTCAACCTTAATCATAATTGTTTAAGCAAAAGGAGGAATGCAGGCTACAAATCCCTATCTCTGAGAAGAAAGTTTTATAGACAGCTTATTCGCATTCTACTGCTTCTAGACCTTCAGAGGAAATATGTGCTTGTTCCATAACCTCAGAATGCTTTAGGGAATCCCAGCTTCCACGTTCATTCAGTGATTCTTCTGGGAGTCATTCTCATAAGTACCCCAAAGAAATTGAGATTGAGAAAAGATTTCCTATAACTTTGCAGACATTATGGAAACCAAAAGAAGTATCCTTTTTTTCTTCACCTGGTATACAACAAATTTATTGCCTCTTCTCAAATAAGTAAACCATTTCTCTAACATGTGGAGAGGAATTAGGGAAGGGGAGGTGATCTAAAATTTACTAAATTGCCTAAAACATGTCAGTAAATTACAAGAGTTATTTTTCCTATCATCACAGTTCTATGAAGAGGATATTATAGTCTTCATTTCTCATATGAACGAGTCTCAGAGAAGTTAAAGATTTTCCTGAGTCCCAGCATGAAATGCAGAAGATGCAAATGGTGCCATTTATCAATTGCATTTCTTCCTGTCTCTCTACAAAATGCCCACGTTACCCATGATACATTGTTTTTTCTCATCCTAACATTTACATCACTAGATATTGGAACAAAATCAAAAGTCATTTGTTTTTGATATTATTTGTTTTTTTAATAAATGCTAATACTTTATGGGAGATAGGAATTCTTTTCCACTCCATGAAACTTTTTATTAGTACTCAACATCATTCCAGAAAACTGACCGAAAAACAAAGGTTGAAAGAACATATGTGTCTGCTGTTCCATTTCTAAAAGGCTTTATAAGCTGCTCCTGAAAATGATCAAAATGTCAGTGTTTCTGCCCCCAGTAGAACGCATCCTCTCTGGTTTCAGCTGCAGGTTAGTCATTACTGTGTGTAAGCATGCATTCCACAGCAGAATCATGAGGGTTTGGATAATAGAGGAAGGTTAATTAGACTGTAGTAAGTACATAATATAGAGGAATATTTTTCTTCACAAAAAAGCTGAAAATTGTCCCTGGACTGACACCAAAAGAGAAAGGGCGACAATTTTGGGGGACTTGTTAGCACTAAGCTACATACATTTTGCCAGACATTTATAGGTACTCAACTTTATTATGCTTTCTTATGTTCTGTTTTTGGTGATTTAGACACATTCATTCTTTATATGAGAAAATATTTTATAATGTGTTTTGATATACTGTAATGTAATTTGTGCTAAAATGTAAAAAGCATATAACAGTTCCTATAAGCTTTCCTAAAACATTTATGAAGTATAATTGCCCAAGCAAAAAAACTATTTGCAGACTTTTAGTCTAACATTCAAAGCAAATACACAAAAAGCATATTATTCTGTTCACTTCAGAGGACTTTATGTATCTATAGCCATTTATTTATTTATTTATTTATTATTTCAATAGGTTTTGGGGAACAGATGGTGTTTGGTTACATGGATATGTTCTTTAGTGGTGGTTTCTGAGATCTTGTTGCATCCATCACCTGAGTAGTGTACACCGTACCCAATGTGTAGTCTTTTATCCCTCATCCCCCTCCCACCCTTTCCCTGGAGTCCCCAGGGCACTTTTTTAAAAATAATAATAACAACAATATTCTTGTCTTTTAGGGAAGGTATGGACCATTTGTATGCGTGTGTACTGGGTAATAATATAAAATGTATTTCTTACTGTGGGTCTAAACTAAATGTCATTGCCAAAAAAGGAAAAAAATAGCCCTAGAAAGGTGGAACTTTTAAGAAATTTTCCATAACCAGAAGCCACTTCTGTGGTGCTTCACTTACATCACTGAAAGCAGCTAGGAGTAGAATACAGGGATGAAGTAAAACCAAAAAAAGGAAAACAGCAGAGAAATCATTGTGAACATCTGAGTAATCAATTGGTTATTTTTTGAATAATAAGACAGATCTTATAATTCAGCTAATAAATATTGGGTTCAGACCTCAGCTCTACAACTGGTTGGTTAGGGAACCCTGACCAAAATTATTTAACCACACTAGGTTCCACATTCTCATCTATAAAATGAGGATGAAACTACCCTCTGTCTCCTCAGGCAGTTAATTAAATTAAGGTGTGTAATTCATACATTGAACTTACTGCCACACATGGAATAAATTTTCAGTAATTGTAAACTATTCGGTTAACCCCTCTCCTGGAGGGATTACAAAGTGTTAATTTACAGACTAACCTAAAGTGTTTTTGTTTTGCATGTTTGTATAGTATACTTTGCTAAAATTACTTGCTAAATTAGTAGACTCTCAAGTAAATAATAAATTTTGCTTTTTATCTTCAAAGATATATTATTTATTTGTAAGGTCTTATGATTTTCTAACTATCGAATAAGGATAGTTTCACTTTGTTTAATGTTTTACTATAGGATGTTAATAGTTAAGGTAAGTAGGCATAATTTTTTTAATGATTTCAAAGAGATATCCTTAAGTACTTCTTTTTTTGACTCCTAAGTATAGAAGCCCACAAAATATGATGACAAGGTTTTCAGACACATGAGTTTGGGAATGAGTTAAATGAGAAAAATAAAGAGAAGATATGTGAACAAATAGAAAAAAATTAATAAAATAGTTTTCTGTTGTAGAATTAATACATGTTCATTATAAAAATTTAGGTAATAGCCAAAGATAAATAGAATAATATTACTATTTAGATGTATATGTTTCAAATGCATTTGCTGTGCACATATACAGCTAATAACATTTTTTTCACAAAATGAAATCATACCATACATAATTTTATAACTTCCTTTTGTCCTGTGACTATATCATGGATGTTTTCTATGTCAACACATATAAGTCAATAATACTGTTTTTAAGAGCAGTATAATATTCCATTCTTTGTTTGGATCATAATTTTTTAACCAATTACTTATTCAGGAACATTTATCTAATATCTGATATTTAGAAATTGCAAACAATGCTCTATTGTTTTATAAAACTCTCTGTGTCCTTCTCCAAATATTTCAATATGATAAATTTCTCCTTCAGTTCATAAAAGTAATCACCAATTACTGAATGCTATTTGACAATTATAGTGTTAAAATTTTATATACACTATTTCATGGGACTATTACAATAATTATTACAATAATCCCACGAAACAGATACATCATTAACTACATTTTACCAAATAGTGCAACTGAAAATTAATAAAGTTGAATAATTTTCCAAAAGTCCACAGAAAGCAGGAATTATAACCAGGAACAACTGATTCCAAAACTCATGTGTATAACCACTACACTATACTACTTCTCTCGTGTAGTATAGTTTGAATATTTTAATTTTTTATTAGTCTTACTTAGTTTCCAGATAATTTAAATTATTTTTTGATAAATAATAGAAATTCTACTTTGCAGGACCAACTTCAATGTATTTGTCCTCGGTCCCCCATGAATTGTCTAATATGTAAACTTGTCAAGTAGCTGCATGACACATTCAAATTACCTGGCATTTCAAAAAGGTGCAGGTTGCTGTATTGCTTCATTGCAAAGTTAAGGAGTAACATGTTGCTTGGAAAGAAAATTACTCTTTCAATGACTTTATTGAATGTCACATAATATGAATGGGAGACAATGTGGAAGATAAATTATCATGTGTATTATGGATGATATTTTTTTCTATACAATCTTACAAAAGCTGAGGTGTGTATAGTATAATCAAATGTTAGTATATGTACAGTACATACTTATCTATAAACACACACATACATGAGGGACATTTGGTTCACCAAAAATTTGTGCCAGTAGAGGTATTTCTTTAGTTACTGCTTATTATTATTTTGAACAATATTGTAGCCTCAGACAATGTCCTATTGGAATTAGAAATGAATGAGCACTACTTATTGGGCCCAAGAGAAAGGTGTTAAAGAAGGAATGGCAAGGTTTGCACCTTAGTGCCAATACTCAAACTGCTTTAGGCTGGAAACCAGTTGGCCAGCCAATTTAATTATTCTTCACCATGATTCAACATAAAAGGAAATAATGAGCATTGGGAATATAATAATATTATGGATGCTAAGTATACTGCATAAAGACATGCACAGCAAATGCAAAACTGCCAGTTTCAGGAAAAAAAAGGTACCGGGGGAGAAAGAAGTGGGAGGGGAGTTGCTGTTCAATGGGTATAAAGTTTCTGTTGTAGAAGACGAATGAGTTCTAAATATTTGGTGTACAACATTGTGCTAATAGTGAACAAATACTGTATTGTGTACTTAAAAATTTGATAAAGGTTAGATCTTATTACATGTTCTTACCACAATTTTTTAAAAATATAAAGTAGAAGGAATGGTGCTTTTGAAATAAGAAAGTGGGAAGCAAACATTTCTTTCCAAGACCAACACTGTCATCTCTGTGATTTCAAGTGGCTTTCTCAAGCAGCATATCTTAGTGATATATTCGATATCTAGTATAGCCTGAATCAATTACCCATTGCCAAAGAAATGACTTTTCTGAGATGAAGGTAATAGACTTCCTTAGCAAGATCAAAAGGAAATCATGTAAAAGAGCTGATGGCTTATAGATTGACTTTTTCCAATCCTTAATGATTGCCTTTATCTCCTACTTGCCTGAGAAATATATTGATGGGGTATCAGTGGGCATATTTTAAAATCACATCCATATATTGCATTAGATCATTAAGAAATGCATTTGAGGAAAATGTCACCAAGAGTAATTAGAAAGTCATTTGTCTTGACTTCCTCATACTTGAGTGAGTAGAATAATTTAACCTTTTAGCTTTGAGCATGATATGTTGATATGTGATGGGGCACCAAAAGTTAGATTCAATGAGAAATATCTCAGTATTCAAAACTATCTAAAGAGGTTCTGAATGCTTCCTGAAAATCTTGACAGATACAATTAAAAGTTTTGACTTAATTTTACTAAGAAATGAACTCATTATGCTTAGGTCAGATATAAACAGCATCATCCTTCTTGCAGTTATGAGCTAATTTATGCTTATTATATTTTATCTTTATATTTTAGTTATAATAAACATTTTAATGTACCTAACATTGGCAATCCTTTTGAATACTATGTATCCATTGAGTGATCAGCAGATACAGAAAGACTTATATCATGCTTAGGAATATCTTCTTCACAGCATTTGTATGTTATCACAATGCTTTTTATGCACAGAAGAGAGCAAATTTTATTCCAAAGAAATGTAGTCATAAGTGTGGTAAAGCTCTGTGTTTGAGAGGGTAGCAGCATTGTGGGATTTAAAACAATAGCAGAAAAAAAATAATTGCGAGGCTACTCTCAAACCAAATGCCATTCTCAAACAAATTTCACAAATAACAAATTTGATATAACTTTTAGTATCCCTTAAGAATATCAACTTTTAATGACTTATGAATCAGACTTGATATTTACAGCATGCAGACTGCATTCCCCCAAATAGAATAGGATACGAGAAAATGGAAACCTTTAGACAGAATTTATAAATCTTTGACATTTACCTTTTCTTGTCTTCCATATACATATCAAATAAAAATTTAGATTCATGGTTATCTGAGATCTGTCAGCAAATATTTATCAAGAACTTATTAATTCCAGGCATATTATGAGGTGCTGTAAGGCATGGAAACCATGAGACACAACAGTGAAGTGTTTTAAAAAGCAAAAGAATGGGAGCCTACCAAAAGAAAAAAATATGAGCCAACCAAAAGAGCCCCCAATGGCCAATTTTGAGTAACGCATAAAGGAGTAATTTGATAAACAAAATAAATATTGCAGTATTATATTATACTCCAGTGTAGAGAATGAATATCCATGAGTGCATAGTTATATAAATAAATGATTAAATACATAAATGAGGGAGAAAGGCAGATGTGTCATACAGAAGAATTCCCAACAAGTTATGTGGATACTTCACCCTCAAGTAGAAGCATAAATTCCAAGTCCATAATTGTGAGCTGCACATAATAACCTCCTCCCAAATAGTACAGTATAGAAATGGAGAAAAAGAGGAACTTTACAGTGGAGAAACCTGATAAACATTGCCTCAGCAAGGTGATAACACTTAACATCAAGAGTGGTAAGTTGTATTAACAGCCAATAATAACTTGATATGATGTGATGAGAATGACATTTCACCTCTTTTTTTCTAGCAACACAAAACAGAGGGAAAAAGAAAAACTAAGAAAATAAGTAAAAAAGAAAATATGAATAAAATATTGGGTTTAGTGAATAATAATATATTAATATTGACTCATTAGTTTTGATGAAAGAACCATAGTAATATAAGAAGTTAAAAATAGAGGGAACTGGATTTGGAACATACAACAACTTTCTCTACTCTCTCTGTAAATTTCCTGTACATCTAAAACTATTCTGAAATTAAGAGTTTATTTAAAAGTTACATATTAAGGTATGCCTGAAGGTTTAGTCTAAGAGGGCATATGGAACATCCCACTTATGACTAAAAGTAGGCAAACCTGTCTCTAATGTGCTTATAACTGCTCATCTGTTGAATTGCTGGATTGTTCCATGTTTATTATTTTGATGGACATTGTACATACTCTCCCATATTCATATTGCTTCTTTCAGTGACAAGCTACTAAAAGGCATAAACCCTAGTTCTGAGTTACTCATGCCCTCTCTTGATTAAAAAATAGGGCAGCAATGGTTTTCCAAGACAGAGCTGGGTTTTCTATATCTTTGGAGAAAATGACTTTGTAAACAAAGAAAGAGGAATTGTAAGTCTTTGGATGAATGAGTCAGGATGATCTTAGCAAAGGTAAGGGCAATTTTTGCTTGGTTTTTATTGTTTACTCTTTCTTTTATGCACTTCTATTTTTTTCTTTGTTTTACTGTAAAAATAGATCAGGACGCTGACAAAGAAAAATTATGGCTTTCCAAAAAAGGATATGTGCAGGAATATTCTTGAATAAAAGAGCACAAGCACCTATGTGTTCCTTGCTTTTTTTTTTTTTTTGACACTTCAATTTTGCAGGGAAAGTGAAATTAAAAATGGCACTTCTTCATGCAAAAAAGAGAGCAAAAGCTCTTAGCACAGATGGTTAGCAACAAGGTTGAGGACACAATTAACAGTCTGAAATTATATCATCGTATAGTCTGTCAGCAACTTCGAAGCTGGGCAGCAGCATCCAGGACTTAATTGGCTTTATTAATAAGGCATCCTTTCATTTCCTTTCTGTCTAACTCTTATGTCACTTGTCACCATAACAGATTTTTTTTAAGTATCTGCAAATGAATTTGATCCCAAAAGCTTATCTTTTCTGCAGCATGTGTTATTTCTTTTAAAATAGAAGTTTCTCTTGAACTTCTACTTAAACTTAGTATGGAGCTTTCAGGTAAAACTCTCAAACAAAAAGTGTTTGACACCAGCAAGGCAGAGATCACCCTTTTGGAAAAATATATCAACTACTTATTGATTGCCTTAAATACAGATAATGCAAATCTCAATTTAATCTCCATGTTTTAAAAAAAATGACCAGCAGATAGAAATTAACATTACAGGTGTATATTGGTCCATTTTCATACTGCTATGAAGAAACACCAGAGACTGGGTAATTTATAAGGAGAAAGCAAGTTAGTTACTTCCTAGATAAAATGGGGGTACAGGCATTGTGTAAATATACCTGTTCCAAGTGGGAGAAAATGGCCAAAATGAAGGGCCTGCAGGCCCCATGCAATTCTGAAATTCAACAGGGCAGTCAAATCTTAAAGCTTCGAAAGACCTCCTTTGACTCCATGTCTCAAATCCAGGTCATACTGATGCAAGAGGTGAGTTCCCACGGTCTTGGGAAGCTCTGCCCCTGTGTCTTTGCAGGGTACAGATCCCTCCTGGCTGTTTTCATGCTCTGGTGTTGAGTGCCTGCAGCTTTTCCAGCCACATGGTGCAAGCTGTTTGTATATCTATTATTCTGCAGTCTGGAGGACGGTGGCCTCCTTCTCACAGCTCCACTAGGCAGTGCCCCAGTGGGGACACTCTGTGTGGGGGTTCTCACCCCACATTTTCCTTCTGCATCATCCTAGCAGAGGCTCTCCATGACCCTCCGCCCCTGCGGCAAACTTCTGCCTGGACATCCAGGCATTTCCATACATCCTCTGAAATCTAGTTGGAGGTTCCCAACCCTCAATTCTTGACTTCTGTGCACCCACAGGCTCAACACCATGTGTAAGCTGCCAAGGTTTGGAGCTTGCACCCTCTGAAGCAACAGCCTGAGTTGTACAGTGGCCCCTTTTAACCATGGCTGGAGCTGAAGCAGCTGAGATGCAGGGGGCACCATGTCCTGAGGCTGCATAGAGTGGGGCCTCCATGCCTGTGATTGGAGGGGGGCTGCTGTGAAGGTCTCTGACATGCCCTGAAGACATTTTGTCCATTGTCTTGGTGATTAATATTTGGCTTCTCATTACTTATGCAAATTTATACAGCTAGCTTGAATTTCTACCCCCAAAATGGGGTTTTCTTTTCTATCACATTATCAGGCTGCAAATTTTTCAAACTTTTATACTCTACTTCCTCTTGCATGCTTTGCCACCTAGAAATTTCTTCCTCCAGATACCCTAAATTATCTCTCTTAAGTTCAAAGTTTTACAGATCTGTAGAGCAGGGGCAAAATACCACCAGTATCTTTGCATAGCAAGAATGACCTTTACTCCAGTTCCCAACGAGTTCCTCATCTCCATATGACACCACCGCAGCCTGGACTTTACTGTCCATATCACTATTCAGCATTTTGGCCAAAGCCATTTAAGTCTCTAGGAAGTCTCAAACTTTCCCACATCTTACTGTCTTCTGAGCCTTCCAAGTCTATAGGACGTTACAAACTTTCCAACATCTTCCTGTCTTCTTCTGAGACCTCCAAACTATTCCAACCTCTGCCTGTTGCCCAGTTCCAAAGTCGCTTCCACATTTTCAGGTATCTTTATAGCAGCACCTGTAGCAGTAAACTGGTACCAATTTACTGTATTAGTCCATTTTCACACTGCTATGAAGAAATACCTGAGACGGGGCAATTTATAAAGAAAAAGAGGTTTAATTGACTTACAGTTCCACATGGCTGGGGAGGCCTTACAAACATGGCAGAAGGTGAAGGAGGAGCAAAGGCACATCTTACATGGTGGCAGGCAAAAGAACGTATGCAAGAGAACTGCCCTTTATAAAACCATCAGATCTCATGAGACTTATTTGCTGTCACAAGAACAACACAGGAAAACCCATCCTTATGATTCAATTACCTCAGTTACCTCCTACTGCATCCCCCTCATGACATGCTGAGATTATGATCTACTCTCACCACTGAGAATATTCATATTCTTCAATCATAATGTTCAAATATCTAAAGTATGTCATGCATTACATACCTAAAATCTTCACAGAAATGCAGTTACATTTGAATGATAAACATTTGTTTTATGTTATATTGACCTTAGAACTAGGTAATAATTAAAACAAACACTTCAGTTTCTGGGTTGTAAAGAGGAGTTTTGATAGAATATTCAATTTTTGCTAAATATAGCCAGACATGGGATTGTTTTCATTTCTTTGACTAAAATTAATGAGATTTTTGAAATTATCTCAAAGGCATTATGTTTGTGACAAGTTATCTATAACACAATATGGAAGCTATCCTTTAATGATAAGTTTCTTCTGAAATGTATTTTTATTACTGTTTTTATACTTTTACAATATTAATCTTAATGATAAAATCTAGACAGAATATATAGGCTTTTGTATCATTTTTCCAAAGTTTGGAATACTACTAGTTATCAGAGATTTTTATTAGCTATTCTATGAATAAAGAAAAAGCATTCCACAATCAAATAAGTTTCAGAAATGTTTCCTATTACAGTCCTCTCTGTATCTTTCTATTAGCACACAAAATGGTTTGGTAAGTCCTGTAAAAAAGACTCTGAATCAGGTGAGATGCAGGAGAATGAAAAGCCTCAAGGGAGAATGAGGAAATTAAAGCAAGAAAGTGGAGGGGTCCAGGGGGATCAGAGAAGCTGGGGTTTAGGTCAAAAGAGAGGAAGGTGGAGCAGCATAGCAGTCTAAGGCTGAACAGAAAGGAGAAGGCAGATATTCACAGACGCTTGCACTTTGTGTAATGAGCTAGAACAGTGGGAATAGAAAATATAATGAATTAACTCACTTCAAAATTTTAAAGAGAACTCAAGAATTATGTTGCAAGCTGAGAATCCAGGGATTGTGGGAGATCTGGGGAATGTGACAGTGATAAGTCAGTCCTTGCTAGGGCTTATCCCACTGGCACAGTACTACTTCTCCAGATTCTGGCTGTTGCCTTTGAGATTTTCCTAGCTAAGGTTTGCCTACTTTTCTTGACTACAGTTTAAAATTTCTCTCTTCTTGTCTGCTGTGTACTCATCTTCCAATTCTAATTTTATCTCTTCTCCATTTTACATCCCAGCCTTCTGAAGTGATTACTTAGTCCAAACACACCTATAAAATATGTGTATATTGGTGAAAATACATTTTAATGGCAGTATCAGGAGTAAGACCAACAGCTTACACACTGGGATGTTTTGCTCGTGAATATTGCTAAGAAACTGTACAATTCTTTTAAAACCTAATAATTTCAGAGGTTGAACAGGGTATAGAAATATGGCAAAGAAAATCAATCCCATTTAAATTTTCTAGTCCTAAGGCAAATTTCTAGGTCCTGAAGTTCATCAGTACAGCTGCTTTTTGTATTAACAAGCGATAAGTGATACTAAAGATAAGAGTAATCTCATATCTTGAGAAATACTCAATTTTATTCCTTCTGGCTATAAATGGAAAAAAAAATGAAGCACAATCCAGTTATGAATACTGGTCTGGGCCAGCAGAGGTCTGGGCTATGTCAGTGTCAGATCTAAAGTGGTAACTGGAGAGACAAAGCTGGTGCATCTTGCCAAAAGTGAACAAGAGGCCAAATACCAGAAGATCTATAAAAGAAGAAAATGATCAGAATCCGGACAGACTTCAATGAAGTGCTATTCAAAGGTTCATCATTAACTAAGATAGCACAACTAAGTGAATCTGATCCTACATCAGAGGCTGTCTCTTCACTCTCTTTTGTGTGTGTCCCACCCCCACCTGAGAAGTTCATTTTTTTCTGTATGCAGATCTATTATGAGGTCAGTATTGCAGGTTGTTAACAAAATTTTCAGAGAGAAATAGCGAATAGAAGGATCATGATATATTATTTTGTTTATGCTTAAAAATATTTTTTAAATTATAAGGAGTAGTATTTATATACAAACACTTTTGGACACTGCATTTTATGCTAATATAGGTTTCTTATTTTTTTAACCCAAGAAAGAGCATATAGTGGAGAATATACATAGGATTATCAAGATTTTATTATAATTATAAAATAAAGTCATAGCAACATATAATTTTAAAAACTATTTTTATGTAGATTATATCATGGGTATCTTCATAAAAGCCTGTGGTTTTGATAAGGTAGATATTTTGTCTACATTTCAGAAATAAAGAGAAATAAAATCTTAGTGAACTTTAGGGTTGCTGTGGTCTGAATGTTTGCGCCCCTCTCAAAATTCCTACGTTGAAAACCTCATCACCAATACTATACAATTAGGTAGAAGAGGTGATTAGGTCAGGAGGGTGGAACCCTTGTTACTGGTATTAGAGCCCTTATAAAAGAAGCTCTAAAGAGCTGCCTCACCCCTTTCTGCCATGTGATGACACAGTGAGAAGATGGCCCTCACCAGATACCTAATCTGTTGGCACCTTGATCTTGGACTTCCCTGCTTCCAAAATAATGAGACATAAATTTTGGTTGTTTCTAAGACATTCAGTTCTTGGTGTTTGTTACACAGTCCGAAAGGACTAAGACAAGAGTTTTTTGCTTAGTGGCATAACTCATCAATGTCATGGCTAGATAGCAGATAGTTCATATGGTTCCTTCCTTCATTCATTCCTTCTTTCCTTTTTTCCTTCCATCCTTCCTTTCTTTCATCTCCTCCTCCTTCTTTCTCTCTCTCCTTTCCTCCCATCCCCTCCCTTTTCTCCTTTCCTTCTTCTTATTTTTAATATACCCTTTCCCCATATCTCAACCCCCAATTATTAGAAATACCACATCCTCAATACATGTGTGTTAGGCACAGGGTCATTTGGAACTGTTTACTACCAGTATTTGTCCAAAAAGATTATTTTAAAATATAAAAATATAAAATCGTTGGGTGGATTGAAATTTTAGATAAGATGGCTGAGTCACTGTTTGTTTGCACAGAGGTAAGTGGGAATGTACTATCTTGAAAGAAGCTAGGAGGGAGTCATATAACAGAGGATAGAGAAATGCCCATTTAAATAATTTAAGCAGATTGCCCTTGCTTATTCCACACCACCCAACTGCTTTTAATTTTTACCACTTGGAAATAGGTAATGCTGGTTGTGTACTTAGAAAGCCCCAATTCAGCAAGTGAAGAGATAAGTCTTCCCAGATAAAATAGTGAACTGTACCCCTTAATCCCTGTGCTCTTCCTCTCCAAACTGGCTCTCCTGTTTACCCTGCTCTTGTTCAGAACTCTCTCTTGGATATGTTTTCTCGACATGGAGGCTTCAGCTGCACACACTCATATACGTAGAGTAATGCAAACTTGTTTGTTATATCATCTGTGACTCCTGCTTTTGGGGGAAGTTAGTTTCTAAATCCTTTTTCTTCCTTAGTGATTTTTTTTTCCAATTAGTTGAACGAATGATGGTATTTGTTTGCAGCTTCCAGTGTTGCCCATAAAGAAGAGTAGTTATTCATTTAGGGAAATTGCTTGATCAGTGCTATGCAGGGCCATTATATCTTCTTTGTGCTGGTAGGAGAAAAGAGTGATATTCTAGATTGAAACAACTGGAAAAACAGATTGCTGAATTAGGAGTGAAGATATAATTAGATGCACCCTACAATAATTGGATAGAATTGAAAGCATTTAAGTCTGTACATAATCAAATATTGCCTGGAAATGCTACAGCATCTTCATTTTATGCTAAACAGATTTTTATGGAAGGGCTATAAAGGAGGAAATCTGCTTGCTAATTTGATTAAAAACACCATGGATCTCCGTGATTTCAGCTATTAAGATTCCAAATGGGAGGAGGCTAATTATAAAAGAAAATAAGAAATTGATTTCATCTTTAAGATCTATTATCAAACATTGCATAGTTTAAGTGGAATTATTCATAACAAAGATGCACTTCAATAATTGCTCTAAGAATAGATATATTCTTAGTTCCATTTTAAACTGAAAGGAATCTAAAGAAAAAACAACACTGTATAATCAGTATTTATGGGAGAGGTATTTTATTAACCACATAAGCCCATTTTACTGAAAAGAAAACAAATTAAAAGAATATCACTTGCTGAAAACTATCCTCAAACACAGATATGTAGTGTCTCATAACTTAAGAACTGTATTCATTCTCTGTTTATACTATTTAATTTCTGTATTATATCATAGCTATTAGTAGACACATCCTTTTTGTCTTATTATTATTATTCTTTATTATTTATTTATTTGTTTGTTTGTTTGAGATGGAGTCTTGCTCTGTCACCCAGGCTGGAGTGCAGTGGCACGATCTCGGCTCACTGCAAGCTCCATCTCCTGGGTTCACGCCATTCTCCTGCCTTAGCCTCCTGAGTAGCTGGGACTACAGGTGCCCGCTGCCAATCCCAGATAATTTTTTTGTATTTTTAGTAGAAACGGGGTTTCACCGTGTTAGCTAGGATGGTCTCGATCTCCTGACCGTGATCCGCCCGCCTCGGCCTCCCAAAGTGCTGGGATTACAGGATTGAGCCACTGTGCCCAGTCTTGTCTTATTATTTATTCATCCATTAAACAGACATTACTGAGCAGCTACTATGTAGCAGCCAGTGTTTCAGGCACAGAGGATACAGCAGAGAATGAAGGAGACAAAATTTCCTACCATCAAGAATCTTGCATTCTGTTTGGAAAGGGGTAAAGTAAAAGATAAATAAGTATGATGTATAGTGTGTTGGATAGTAATGAATGCTAAAGAAGATAAATATGAAGTGGAAGGGTAAGATTATTTTTGAGAGAATGGTCAAAGAAGGCCTCATTGTGGAAACTTGAGTAAAGATTTGAATGAAGTGAAGGAGCTGACCATGCTGATATCTTAAGAAAGCCTCCAGACAGATGTGCAAAGGCCTGAGGCAGGCTGCGCACGGCTTGTTGGGGCAACAGCAAGAAATGATGTTGATAGAGTACATCTAGGCAGGGGCTGGGGAGAAGGCCTTCACAGGTTGTAGGTCACGAGGTCTCAGTAAGGATTTTGATTTCTATTTTAATTTATTTTATTTCTTTGCATTTCATTTTTTTGAGGTAAGGTCTCACTCTGTCATCCAGGCTGGCATGACCACTGCTCACTGCAGCCTCAACCTCCCAGGTTGAGGTCCTCCTACCTCAGCTTCCCAAGTATCTGGGACTACAGGCATATGACACCATCCCCACTAATTATTTGTAGAGATAGTCTCATTATGTTGCCAGGGCTGGTCTCGAACTCCTGGGCTCCAGGGACCCCACCTAAACCTCCCAGAGTGTTGGGATTATAGGCATGAGCTACCACACTGGGCCAGATTTTGACTCCAAAGTGAGATGGGAAGGAGTGGTAGCACTGAACAGAAGAGACATGATCTACCTTATTTTATCAGACATGAGCTTCTCAACTGCAGGGGCTACTCTGGGCCATGCAGCTTTGTAAAAATGATCTAAGTGATATCCTATTCTATCTACTGGGCTGCAGATAGCTGAAGAACATTTCTATCTACTTTATAATTTAGTACACAGTCAATCCTGGAAAGTATTTATTAATGATGCTGGTTACCTTTTAAACACAAAATTTAAAATGTGGGCCTAATTTAAACATAAAAATAAAAAATGTTCAAACGACAAAGGAAAATCTGAGGGGTTATATCTTTTTAGTCTAGTTTAAATGCCTGTACTTCCCAGGAATTTAATAATTTGGTAAGTTAAAAAAAACTTTTTATTCATCATGCATATGGTAAATGTTATTTGCTTTTCCTTTTTAGAACTACATTTAAAGAGAAATAAATTAATTCTGGAGTGCCACTTTGTCACAGAAAGAAGGCAAAGGGATATCTCCAAATTTCTAGTTTATGTACCTTCTCATTCTTTTCCATGTTACCAGAAAACAGTATTACTACTTGGTGAAAGTTTTGTTTTATTGTAAAATGGTAAAATGCAGTTTAAATTTATTTCAAAAGATGAATCCAGGAGCCAGCTGAATATGCTCATGGGTCTGCTCAAGCCAAGGTTTTATTGCTGCTAATTGACAAGCCCAATTGTACAACACCAAATTTGGAACTGAAAATTCCCTGTCTTTGAATAGCTGTAATTTAATCAAGCTTGCTTTAGCTCCTTTATTATATCATAATGAAATATAAAATACCTTACACACAAATGCTTCTCTTTCAGAAATTAAATAGAAAGCAAAGATTTAACAGGCCAAGAGTAACAATCAGTGCAAACACAATTACCTTCTCACATACAGGATAAAGCAACTCTCCCCCTTTTTGTCATCCAATATCATAGTAGCACGATCTTTTCTCCCTACCTGTCCAATTTTTTTTTTATTTTTCTTTTTTTTTTTTTCTTGAGATGGAGTCTCACTCTGTCGCCCAGGCTGGAGTGCAGTGGCCTGATTTCGGCTCACTGCAACCTCCACCTTCCGGGTTCAAGCGATTCTCCTGCCTCAGCTTCCGAGTAGCTGGGATTACAGGTGCACGCCACCATACCCGGCTAATTTTTGCATTTTTAGTGGATGGAGTAGGGTGGGGTTTCACCGTATTGGCCAGGCTGGTCTGGAACTCCTGACTTCAGGTGATCCGCCTGCCTCAGCCTCCCAAAATGCTGGGATTATAGGCATGAGCCACTGCACCTGGTCCCAAATTTTCATTATCCTCATGTTTGTCCTAAAGCAAAAGAAAAAGATGAGCAACTGTGGAAAATGAAAATACCAAAGCTTGGTGTGTTTTCTGAGAAAACTTAAGCTTCAGGATACTTATAACTGTAGTTATTAAACCCAAAGAGAGAAGTAAGTCTTCTTCATATATCTAGAAGCAATGTGAACATTTGCCACTAGTAGGATCTAGAGTGAAGATTTCTTAACTCTTCATCCTTTCTGTGCTAATTGAATGATGAAGACCCTAGGAGTTTTTCAAAAAATCTCATACAGAGTGCTAACACATCAGTTGATGACATCCAGCCATGACGGATTCAGGCTTGCATAAATAATCTGCAGGAGTTCTTTGAATATATCACAGCCACACTAGATAAAAGATGATCTGGGACTACGATATAGTTAATATTTCAGAAAAAAAAGTGCATTTGATATGTTTCTGCATCAGAGATAAAGGTAAAAGAACCACCGAACATGGGATAAAGAGTACCGAAGCGAAAATTAGTTTTAGAAACACTACAAAGCAAAGACTTTAAAAGCAACTTTTATGTTGGAAAGAAAAAAAAAATATTGAAACTGGGCAGCCCATGTGCAATTAATTGAAGTCCAGTCCTTCCTTAAAAACGCTTTCTAACACACCAAATATCTCACAAAGCTGATGGTGACTAAAAGTCTTTCCAACAGTTTAGTGCAATAGACTTATCACTAAGCTTGGAATGTAAAAATCTAAGTTCTAGCTGATTAAATGATCTTGAGTAATTAGCACTCAGGGTCTCAGATTCCAACCTACAGAATAGGAAATTGGGTCTAGAAAGATTGCCAAAGTCCCTCCTATCTCCACAACTATTTGATTCTAACAGCTCCACGTAGCTCTGGGGAATTTAATCATCAAGCAAGTTTCTCCATTAAGGTGGATAATTAAAATGAGGGAGTACTCTGTAATGCATCAAAACAGATTCAGATTGCTGGCTTTTTCAAATTTACAGTTTCGCTTTCAGTAAAAATTACATGGTATAATCAGTCGAGCTGTGGAAATGGGCTCTGAAGGCTATTGATTCCTGAGTTCTTGATACTTTCATTGACCCTATCAAAACACTTAAATGTTCCAAAGCCTGGAGTGGCCCTGGAGAAGCCCAAGTTGTAACAATTTTGTACTGCCTGAGGTTTATATTACTCCAGAGAGTATGTATTTTGTAATAGGGTTGAAAAGACAGTAAAATTTTTAAAAAGTGGCCACTCCTATAGTAGTGTAGATACATGAACATTTAACCAAATGTATTGCCTTTATTCTGAGTCTGTACATGCGCAGAAATCCCAGCAAAATGTTCTCTAACTAGTCTTATGTGACCCTGGCTTAAAATGTGGGCTGTTAGACTTTTAACTACTTGAGGCCAGGCACAGTGGTTCACATTTGCAATCCCAGCACTTTGGGAGGCAGAGGTGGGCAGATCACCTGAGGTCAGGAGTTCGAGACCAGCTTGGCCAATATGGTGAAACCTTGTCTCTAACTAAAAATACAAAAATTAGCCAGGTGTGGTGCCATGTGCCTGTAATCCCAGCTACTCAGGAGGCTGAGGCAGGAGAACTGCTTGAACTCGGGAAGTGGAGGTTGCAGTGAGCCGTGAGCCAAGATTCTGCCACTGTACCGCAGCCTGGGCAACACAGTGAGACTCCAAAAAAAAAAAAATTTTTTTTGAACTACTTGAAAATAATAGACTGCTTTTATTATGTACAGAGTCAGTATTCCATGCAATTTTGTTGAATTAAATTTAATTCTTCTATCACCAGAGAGCATTTTTTTTAAATGAAGAACATGATTACTAATTTAGATGACATGTAACCAAGTTTAAGGCAGACAAAAAAAAAAGTCTCTATTAGAAACTACAATGGAACATTATGGGGATAAAATGAAAATATTAACTTAAAATTCATTCCTCCATCCCTTTTAGCCCAAATGAGTGAATAATTTTAAAACCTGAAACAAATGTTTTCTCAGTATAACCCTTCTAGAGAAGTACTGCAATTTCACTAAATCACAGAACTCCCATTGCCTTAGATCAGGAGTGTGTATATTATCAGCATCAAACAAAACTCAATTATTTGTAATTGTCAGCAGAGCTGAGAATAAACCTTATTGAAGCATGAACACTGTGAGAAAAAATATATCTGTGCATTCCATCAAAAGCAAGCATTTCTTTGCCTGAATTTTTAAAAATTGTTTTATTTATAATTATTGTAGATATATAATAGTTGTACATATTTATGTATATGTGATGTTTGGATACAGTATACAGTGTGTAATGATCAAATCAGGGTAATTGAGGTATCCATCACCTTAAGCTTTTATCATTTCTTTGTGTTAGGAACATTTCAATTCCACTCTTTTAGTTATTTTGAAATATACAATAAGTTATTGTTAACTATAGTCACCCTATTGTGCCACCAAACACTAGATTTTACTCTATCTAATTGTATTTTCATACTCATTAACCCTCCCCTCTTTACCCCCCTTCTCCATTACCCTTCCCAGCCTGTGGTAACCATCATTCTATTCTCTATAATTTGTAATAATTATACTTCTAGAGCAAAAGATAAACTCTGCCTACCTGGGTCTTGATTCTCTTAGGACGGATAAGTCATGTCCAAGAATAGAATACAAAAAGAGAAAATGGTGTCAGTAGTATGGTGTTATACTGGTGTGCTATACTAAATGGTGTCTGTTTCAGGTAAAATGACATTAGAATTCAGAATGAAGGAGTGATTCCAGCTGGAGCAATTAGGAATCAGGGAAGTCATTGTAAACAAAGTGGCATTTTTGATAGACCTGGACTTTAAAATATGGAAATTAGTGCAGAGCGTGATGAATCCAGCATTCCGAGGAAAAAGGAAAAGGAGAAGGAGGTGTGAGGCACCAACTGAAAAGAGGACTTGATCTTCCTGAGCCTCTAGTGTGTGAAAGAGAACAATGGGCTGTGAGGGGCTAGATGGTGCAAAGCTTTGGAGGCCTGATGTGCACTTTAATCATCAGGCTTGGACCAGGTACAGAGGGTTTTAAGAAGGAGAATGACAGAACCAGAGCTGTGCTTTTGGAGATTTATTCTGGCAGCAGTGTGTAGGATGGATTGAAGGAGGTGATGCCAGCTCAGGCTCAACAATTTCTTAAAGTGGAGAAAAGGCACAGTTGCAGTAGAGACTAATCCACGTGCCACTAAAAATTGCCCTGTGTTCCATCTGCAGCACCAATGTGAAGACTGTTCACCTCTTTCCAGAATACCGTGGATCTGTGAACAGTTAAAACCTATTACATGAGCTGTGTGGAGCTGACCTGATAGGAATAATTATAATGAAAGGTTTATATCATTCCCTAGGACTGGGGGTAAGGGCAATATAACACTCTAACACTCCTACTTTGTTCCTGTTTTAGCTTTTGAAGTTTTATAATAGCAAGTTACTTGATTTGTCTTGAGATTTGAGCTGTATCACTGATATAAGCTTTCTAATTATCTTTATCAACGTGGCTACGGCAAGGAAAAGTGTGATTCCACAATTTAGATTTGCAGATACCAAATAGAATGCTAATTGATACTTTGGAAATATGATTTTCAAACTTAGCAGAGTGGGTAACACCAAGAAAAATGTTTTAACCTGAAGTCATTTTGAAGGCTAAAATACACTTTAAATTTAAACTGAAAGGGAAAGTGAGGAGAACCCTGCTTGAGGCTTTAATTCTTTGATTAAACTTGATAGTGGGTTATCTTTAGGGTAACTTCTACTTCAATATGAGCCTCATTCCATGGGCCAGGCCATTATAATTATGTATAATAGAATTTTTTTTCCAAAATACATTACAATATCTGAAGAAGATAATCACATTGTAACAGAGAGAAATGAAAATCTGTCAAAGAGAATGAAGAAATTATACTTGCCTTTCTTGTCCTTGGTGCCTAAAGTGAAATGAAATTGTTTTCCTGTTATCAGGCCAAATGCAGACATACTTTAAGGGACCAGCCTTCTTTAAAGATTTTATCAGGTAGAGACATCAGTTCTGCCTTCCTCCTTGCTTCAGGGCACTGCAAATGGCTTCAGAGTACATCTATATGCTAGTTCACTGGAAGGAATCGTTGTTCCAAAGTTTTGCAGAACAAAACTCCCCTAAATTCTCAAGAGACCAGTTCCACAAAGCTGTGAGCTGAGTTTTGTTATATTCAGATTCACTATCCATATCTCTCATGAGCTCTGAGTTTCAGCTACGATATTTTGAACCTAAGGAATACTTTACCCTTTCTTTTTCTCCAGGAAGCAACGATCCAGTATAAAAGGAGTTATATAATCAAGACATAACTGTGAGCTTTGAAACTATTTTAATCACCAGAGCCTGCTTCTTACCATAAAACGATTTCTCAAGCTCCATAATTTGGGATAGAAAACAATAGCAATCTTGAAGAAATACCAGGAAGGACATTAGAGAGATGAAGTAGAGAAGCATTCAAAATGGGATCAGAGGATGCATCTATTCACAGGTCCACCTGATGCCAGGGCTTGTAGAAAAAAATTTAGAGATATATTTAGAGCCATTGAAACTGTTCCCATTTTTACATAGGGAGAGATCAGCATTATATTTTGAGAAACCATAGGGAAGGAGCCTGTCTTTTAAAGTCTGGTGCTACCCAGGATTCTGTCTTTGATCATAGGCTTATCTAATGGGTCATATCTTACTCTGTCATAGTTTTTACCTATTACACGCTGTATATGCTGGTAACATCCAAGTCTAAAAATCCAGCCCAGACATAATCCCTGAGGTTCAGATTTGAAGATCTGTGTAATGACCTAGATTTATATGTGGATATCGCTCCCACAGGCATCTGGCACCCACCCTGTCTTCTAGAGTACCCCTCATAGCACTCCTTGTATTGAGTTCTAAGTGCTTATGTCACTGCCTATCTCTTCCACTGGACCAAAAGTACTGGGAAGGTCAGGGTGAGGTCTGTTTTGTTCATAATTAAAAGCCTTGCTCCTGGTACACGGCAACTGCTCAATAAATATTTTTTGAATAAATGAATCATTGGAGTGGGGCTTGAAAAATCTGGATAATTATAATTTTATAAAATGTCCTTTTAACACAATCTGCTCTCCAGCCCCTACCATTTAAGATAAAGGGACTGCATTAGGACTTACTTAAGTGCCTGTCTACTTAGGGTCACAGCACACTGATTCTCTATGTAGTCATTTTGGACTATGATTTGTTGTAAGACTTTGCCTACGAATATTCTGCCAAGTACAAATAATTTAATACGATTGACCATTCAGTTGATAAAGTTGTAAATAGATAATTATTGCTTTTCAGAAGAAAGTTGCTAAAAATGCATATATATTCAAAGCAATACCTGAGAAGCATAACATAAAAAGCGTTTGCATTCCCACGAACACGGTTCAGTTAAAGCTGAGCTTTGCCTCACAGAGGATAGGCAAACTGCATCTGGGAACCTTCCAGGAAAACTACAGAAATCCAATTAGGAACAGTCCTAAATGGACTCAGAATGTTTAGGTATGATAGAGAAACCAGTAATTCTTCTCATCAGTAAAAGTAATGAAGTGCCTTTAAAAACATCCTTCCATTTCTCCTGCTTAATAAGTAGATATAAAATTGGGGTACTTACAAAAAGTATTTAATTGTCATAGGTAGTTGGCAAGACAAATTTTTAAGAATCCAAATTTGGTAAAGAAATACATATAAACAACTTTTGAAGAGCATCAGAAATTGAACAGCCTATCAGACCATCTGGGACTGTATTCCCTTCATCTCATCTGGATGTGCTCTGTGCCCCTCCCTGAGCCAGCTGCTTCATTTTTCCCTATCCTCTTGTCCTTAAAATCACAAAAGGACATTACACATTAACTGATGCCTTGCACTAATTTATATTTGGGGGATATTGGAAAAACTAACACTTCTTCTAAGTGTGCAGGATTCTCTTGAGTAGACAATGTGAGAAAAAGTTACAAATACTTTTCAGGTCTCTTCCCAAGTATGAAATTGAGAAATATTCTGAAAAATCAGAGTCAGACTGATTTTGGTTAGAAAATACAAATCCTATGATTTCTGCTACAATGGTATCTGAATCAAGATAATGACCATTAAGTCTCAGACCTTTACAAAGGTCTTCAGTCAGGCGAGACAAAAACATTAATTTGTTAAATGAGACTATGGGAAATACTACCAACCTCCTGAGATCTCTCATTTATCACTTTGTCATGAATCTCACCTCTCCAGTTTCCTTACAGTTTTCAATTATGGATGCTAGAATCACTGCTGTCATTTAAAAAAATTAGAATGTCTTTATTTCTTTATACCATTTGCATTTTAATTTCCTGCCCCTTTCAGAGACATTTCTTTTGCTAAGTAATGGCCAGCAGCCAATCTCAATCTGGAGAGGAAATGATTAAAATCTTAATTCTCCTGGAGGGGGAGCTACTATATTTATCTTTTGTTTCTGGATTTGATCATCAGACTGTATGTTTCTGCCACATTAACCTCATTTTAGCAGTAGTTTTCAATATGAGTGAGAGGAAAAAGTAGAAGAGATGTTTTCAATCCAATGGTTAATCTGTTTGACACAACATTTGCTTCCTCATAATGGGTGATGATAGTTTATATTACTCTTTAAATCAGAGCTCAACACATGTTTATAGTATCAAATTAATAATATTCACTGTGCTCCTTAAAGTTGGATATTAGCAAAAGTGATAGAAATACATGAGCACAGAGTAGCAAAATCATTTTCACAAATGGTGATCTGTTAATGCTGAGTTTTTAGTTCTTCTTATTCCCTTTAGTCATTTATATAGTCAAATTATCTGGTCTAATTTTATTTTTAAAAATTATGATTTTTCTTAGACTCCAACAGTAATATAAAAGCAAACAAACAGTACTTAGTTACTTTTTACTTGTTAGTTGAAAATTATAAGGCATAAAAGTAAACATGTTTTTACTTTTTTGTAAAGTAAGATTGTGTGAGACAGAATGTACATCTTAAACTCTCTCAAGGAAAGTAAATGTATTAATTTAAGAGTTCAGAGGTTAGTGGACTCTGGGTATAGTCTGATCAAGTCACTCAGTTTTTTACAATTCTACTGGCTCTTTTATATTCCATGAAAAGCTTCATTCTGTGACTTAACTTTTTTTGTGCCTGCAAACAGTGATTGCATTTGTAAGTATCACATCTTCCTATAATATTGTCCAATTATAAAAAGAATGTCTTAGATTAAGTAAAAAGATAACTACCTTTTTACCAATAGTCAAAAATTTTTGGCTTCATCTTGTTTGAACCAAAGTATTTCATGTGAACACTTCTGAACCAATCAATGTAACTGACAACTCCTGTATATGCAGATTGGAAGATAGGCATAGGCAGTGGATTAGGTTTCATGGACTGGGGTCAGTCCTTCAAAGTGCTTGCTGCTGTGCAATAGGAGAGGGGCACAGCACGTGCTGAGGAGGCAATGACAGTCCCTGCAGTTACCCAAACTTTCTTAACATTTCAGGTGGCTCTCAAATCACAAAAGCATTCTCTCTAGCTCACAGAAAAATGACCCCCAATCAGCAGAGCAAAGATTCTCTCAATTCTACAGCAGTCAAGGTTTACTTCCCTATAATGCCTGCCTTTTTTTGAATGCTCTTAGCAAGCTTTATAGCAATTTTAAAATCTGATTCTTTGAAATCCAGAAAGTTACTAATTGGGAGTTAGAAGGGGTAAAAAAAACGCTCAGTGTCAAAAGATTTATTGTAAAAGGTCTTTCTTGTCTTTTTGGGAGGGGAGAGAGTGTTATGGTCTGAAATGTGTTCTCAAATTCATGTCGAAGTCCCAATCTCCAGTATGTTTTTGGAGATAAGGTCTTTAAAGAAGTGATTAGGTTAAAATAAGGCCTTTAGTGTTTGGCCCTAATCTAAAATGACTGATGTCCCTATAAGAAAAGCAAGAGCTGGAGATCGAGACTATCCTGGCTAACATGGTGAAACCCCGTCTCTACTAAAAATACAAAAAATTAGCTGGGCGTGGTGGCAGGTGCCTGTAGTCCTAGCTGCTTGGGAGGCTGAGGAAGGAGAATGGTGTGAACCTGGGAGGCGGAGCTTGCAGTGAGCCGAGATCGTGCCACTGCACTCCAGCCTGGGCGACAGAGTGAGACTCCGTTTAAAAAAAAAAAAAGGAAAGAAAGAAAAAGAAAAGAAAGAAAAGAAAAGCAAGAGCTACCAGAGGTGAGAGCACACAAAGGAATGACCAAGTGAAGAGGCAGCAATAGGGCAGCCATCTGCAAGCCAAGAAAGAGTCTCAGAAGGACCTAACCCTCCTGACCCCTTGATCTTGGACTTCCAGCCTCTAGAACTGTGAGGAAATAAATTTCTGCTGCTTAATCTACCCAGTTTGTGGTATTTTGTTATGGCATCCCTAGCAAACTAATACAGAATGGTGGTTTGTTTGCTTTTTGTTAACTTTTCTTTTGGAGGTTATAAAACCAACTGCTTCTTCCAACATTTTAATTTAGGGTTTTGTTGCAGTAGGAGACTTTATTTCATAGAAGTAATAGTTATTTTGCTGATGTTCAAAGGATGCTTCTGGTACTCGGTGAGGTTGATGCATTTCTCTTCACCAGTGAAGTCTAATGCTATAGGAAAGTTTTCAAATTTCACACTGGTCCCTGTAATTTTCCTTCCAACTGGCAAATACTTTGAGGATGACAGCTGTGAGCCAGTGCAACTATCACCATGGTCTGTTTCTAATTTTTTTGTTGGTGTTTATGAACACAACTTTTCCCCTTGGAGCCTTTGGTTCATTGCTGGTGATGAAGGATTTTATCTCCTTAGCTCATCTAGGTCTGGGTTCTTGTCTTGTCTCATGACCAGGAAAAATCAGGCACGTGGACACTCGAAGAGTGAGTGGAGTAGAATGTATTAAGTGAAAAGGAAAGCTCTCAGCAAAAAGGGGCATCCTGAAAGCAGGTTGCCAGTTTTCCTTCGCAGTACAAGGGCTTATATATATATAAGCTGATGGAGCTGGGTTCCCTATTTGTATAAGGCATAAATTCCAGGTGGCTCTGCCCCATTCCCCCTAGCGTGCATGTGGACCCTTAATCTTCTCCGGGCATGTTTAGGCAAGCCTGCTGTACAAGTTCCCTTATCTGCACAAAATATCTGGTGTAGGCACTTGTGGGTTAGGTCGGATGTTTTCCAGGGACCCTTCCCTTACTGTCTGCCTAAAGCAAGCTGGCTAACTCCTTTCACTGGTTTTGAAGGTTTTTGTTGTTATTTTTCTAAGCACTCTTTTCATTTTATTTCACCATAAATCCAGTTCTTACAAGGTATAAATGAAATATCTCCTTTTTAATGTGTGCTGAGGTTTGGAACTCAAATGTACAAATTATGACTGCCTATACATAAAAAACAGAAGCATGTTACCATGAAATGAAATAATGGGCAGACAATGTTAGTTTGAAATGTTCTTTTTCCCCTCCATTCCTATTAAATTTGTGTTGGTTCTTTGTTAGATGAAAGAGAAAGAAATAAAGTGCAATGCTTTTGCCTAAAAGCCTATCCCCAAAGGAATTGAGTTAACTGTACCTAGCCCCAGAGAAAGACATGAAACTATGACTGGCTAAAAAGGCTAACTAAGATGTGTGTTTTTCTAGGATTTCTTCTTATATTCTTTGAGTCTATGTAATATGATCAGTACCTTCACTTTCGTTTTCTCTTGTAATTATGAAACGAGTGTGACAATTCTGCCCATGACACCTCAGAGTCTGTTACCAAAGTCACTGAAAACATCACAAAGGAGGACCTTGAGCTCCTCAGAATATGTTAAATAAGTATTAAATGCGGTAAACTGTAAAGATTCTCTGTCTTTTCATAATCTTTTTATTATTTTGGTGAGTTTAGTTTTGTGTTTTTCCTTTGGAAGAGAATGCCTAATAAAATGAGTTGAGGAATGTACACTGAGTTAGAGTGAACAATACTCCTGGATTTGGGAGTGTTTATTTTAGTTATAAAGAAAGTTCCAGTTTAGAATTTATTCTAGACAAATAATGACATTTGAAGGCAACCATGGTTTTAATGGTTCTCTGAATCAAGCAAAAGCAATGTAGGAAAATTTAAACATCTAACCCTCAGAAATGCCAATGAAGACTATAAAACTAATTCAGTTAATGATTTCAAAATCTTATTTGACATGTTTTATAAAACAGGAATAAAACCATTCCTCAGTAGGAACTACTCAGTCCTGCAATTATAATTTGAATCAATATCATATTAATATAGAGCAACACTGCCTTGCATTTTTTTCTCTGTTGATTCAAAAATCACTTGTCTTCAAATCTACTCCTGTCTGTTCTTTAGAGACAGGCTCATTTTTGCTTAAAGATATGATGCAAATGAAAGGAATACATTTGTAAAAATGTGATTTCTCTAGCTCCTTATTTTTTCTCTAACTCTATAATTTTACTTGTAAATATCAATTATATTATCCAGTCTTAAAGAATCACTAATAGAACAAGCATTATTAGAAAAGATAATTAGATAAGGCCTCAACAATGATGACTTTTAATTAGCACTTTTGCAATATGATGTTCTGAAGAAAATATGATTAGTGGTTACTATAATGTTTACAATGTCATTTACCTGAACTTTACATTTGTGTCATTTTTGTAGATAAATAAAGGGACACACTCTCAAAGACTCCATTTCTGATTTTTATATTTTTAAAACAAGGTGATGGTTTAATGGTCTTTAATTCATTTCATATCATAATGGACAGATGGTGGACAAGGATTTTCCCCACTGTGCAGGTGTATGATGTTAAACCAATAAACACTATACAAAGTAAGTTAAATTTTCTATAATATATATGATATGTGTGTATGTATGTGTGTGTATTTCCTGAGACTTACTAAGATATTTTATTAAGACAAGTTATTCTTCAGGAGCATTTTAGAAATGTGAAATATTAATCCATTTGAATTTATGATTTGACAAGGGGAGTTATTAACTTCTTTCAGATGGAAACCGTTTTGCAACAGGGCAAAACAGATTGGTCCCTAATTTCTTAATCACTTCTTTGGTGATTCGAAGGACAGACACTCATTAATCAGCTCTCAGATAAGAAACTTGCTCTGTTGTTTTAATGATCAAGTATTCTGGAGAGACTTAAAGAATCTCCAACCATCTCTTCCGCTTCCATAATATTAGATTTGTTGCTTCATCCCCCAAATTGCCCATGACTTTCTTCTATAAAATAAATGACTAAAATTGAAACTCTTGCTTCTTTTTCCTGAATCAACCTCTTAGGCTTGAATCCTCAGAACTTTAACATCATTTGTTAAATTATTTTTAAGCACTTGCTTGCAGATTTTCTGCTGCGTCCGTGTTGTTGATGGGATTGATGTTGATCAATGTAAAGGTAAAGGTCAATGTTCAGGTAAATGACATTGTAAACATTATAGTAACCACTAATCATATTTTCTTCAGAACATCATATTGCAAAAGTGCTGTTTAAAAGTCATCACTGTTGAGGCCTTATCTAATTATCTTTTCTAATAATGCTTCTTCTATTAGTGATTCTTAAAGACTGGATAATATAATTGATATTTACAAGTAAAATTTTAGAGTTAGAGAAAATAAAGAGCTACAGAAATCGTATTTTTACAAATGTATTCCTTTCATTTGCATCATATCTTTAAGCAAAAATGAGCCTGTCTCTAAAGAAAAGACAGGAGTAGATGTGAAGACAAGTGATTTTTGAATCAACAGAGAAAAAAATGTTGATCCCATCAACAACAGGGATGCAGGAATTGATGTTGATCCCTCTGAATGATGATATACTATTAAGTTGAGCCAAAGAACAAAAAATTAAGAGCATCTTTTCTCTATAACTTCCTTCCAAAAATCAAAGAATGAAATAAGACATGAGAAATTAGAACATAAATTATTAAGATGGGTTCTACAAGACCAAATGTATTGGTAGACCTAGATGTCTGTAAAATGATTTAAAAATGTGTAATTTGTAGAAATATCTCCCCAAATAAGCTTTCAGAACCAGGCTAATTACACTGACTAAATCTTTTTGACTTGTTTTCTTTCACTCACATAAGGTCTGCCTATGGTGTTTCAAAGCCCCCTTCATGCTTTCAACTGTTTCTGCTGGAGCCAGGATCCAAGTTCCATTCATTTAGCTCCCATTTTAGTCCTTAGAATGGTATTTAATAACTGTTAAAAATGATTGAATGAATCAAGCACTATAATTTTATATATGTCTCATATCAACAGGATTCTAAACACGTTGATTATTTTAGCAGTAGATGTAATAAACTGTCTTGATAAACTGCATCACTGATCCATGCTTTATTAGTGACAAAGTTAACCATGTCAACTTTTAGTTATGGCCACAGCTACTTTCTGCTATTCTACTTTATATTCATTGATTATACCTTGAATATAATTTTTCATTAGCTTAAATTTATATTATCAACGAAACAAGAAATTAATTAGGCTGACAGATAAAATCAGAGGATAGAAGAATTATCAGGACACTTGTTAGTTACATTAAGATAAAACGTTTTAGACTTTTGCCCATACAGACATTTTGGTTGAGCTTTTAAAAATACTGCCATTCCCTGTGTTTCCAACTTAAAGATGGCTCAAACCTTAAACCACTAATTTAATTTTTGGCACACTGAATAAAAACTGGGAATTCCGAAATCTGTGCCAATGATGGTATTGTGGCTCTGATGAAGAGTCAGGGGAAAGAGTGGGGAGGAAACTGTGAGTAAAGTTCTCAAATGCCCAATCATTTCAGCACCTCATAATTTGTGCTGATGAAAAATACCACAGTTATGCTGCCCGAGTTTGCAGAATAAATAGCTTTGATTTCCATTACTATCCATGTTTCTATTTGAATAACAAAGACTTGCTTTACCTGATTTGAAGAATAGTCACTCTGGTCAATCTGGTGAAACAATTGGTAAGTGTAGTTGACATAATATGCATGAACGCTTTTTAAAAAGTAAGTGCTATAAAGACTCAAGGAATTATTTATTAAATTGTTATATATAATGATAAAAACTTATCCAACTTGAAGATTCATTAAATTGTTCCAAATAAGTCAAAAAATGTGGAAAAGAGAAGCTAATAATAGATATTGATGACTTTCACAAATTCGCTATCATAGATAACTAGCTCTTATCTATGGAAATAGGCTTTGGTGATAACATGGAAAAATGAAAATGCAGATCTATGTATGAATTAATTTTGATAAAAATATAATCTTTTTACAAAGCAAAATTATCACATTTGGATTTTTCTCTACTATTTCTTATTATGTACTTAAAGTAGTAGAAATAACAATAATGAGAAGGTGCTAATGATTAAGAGAGAGAGTATGGGTGACGGACAGAAATAATGAAAGACAATATTCTGTTTTTAAACTATGATTTTGAAAACGTGAATTGTAATTACTGGATAACATCCATCTACTTCTATAGGGTAAATTAAGATGGGTTATATTCCTTAGTAGAGGAAAATCTAGATTCATTTTGTAACACAAGAGTAGAAACAGTAATTGGCACAAGACCAAGCTCAAGGAAAAGACTTTATAGCTAGAAATTTGCTATCATCTGAATGTTTATATCTGCCCCAAATTTATATGTCAAAACTTAATCCCAAATGTGATGATATTAAGAGGTGGGGTCATTGGTGGGTGATTAGATCATGAGTACAGAGCTCTCCTGGATGGGATAAGTGCCCTTATAAAATAGGCTCAAGGAACATCATTGGCCCCTTCCACCATGAGCCGATACAGTTAGAAGATGTCCTCTTTGAGGAACAGGCGCTCCTCAGACACCAAATCTGCCAGCACCTTAATCTTGGACTTTCCAGCCTTCAGAGCTGTGAGAAATAAATATTTGTTGTTTATGAGCCACACAGTTTATTATATGTTGTTGTAACAGCCTGACTGAACTAAGACAGAAACATAGATACAGATAAATATAGATATAGGTAGAGACAGATAGATAGATAGATAACCAAGTTGATTTTGACATCTTTTGAAGAATTTAAATAGTTTCAGTGTTAGAGGTGACTGCCTGAATGTGGATGTGAATATCTACAGACCACACAAATACTTACGGGATCTAAAATACAGTTTCACACTTTTAACTATCCTCTGAATTTACATTTTCTGTTCAATAAAAGCTGTATTATACATTATGCAGATATTTAAATCAGTACCTATAACTTCTGCATTATTAATATGTGAATGCCAGATATCCAAAAAAATACATCCACTTCACTTTGCCTTTTACCATGGGATGTGAAAAAGTGATAATCACCATTCCAAGAATTTCTACTAGTGGATTTTGACTTCTTTCCTCTTTGTATTTCAGTTTGGGAAATTTCTAATGACATATCTTCAAACTCATTGATTCTTTCTTTATCTGTGTCCAGTCTACTGATGAACTCATCAAAGGCATTTTTGCATTTCTGTTACAGTGGTTTTGATCTTTACCATTTCCTCTTTATTCCTTCTTAGCACTTTCATTTTTCTGCTTAAATTTTTCATCTGTTCTTGCGTGTTTTCCATAGAGCCCTTAACATATTCATCATTGTTATTTTAAATTCTGTCTGTTAATTCCAAAACCTGTGTCATATCTGAGTCTAGTTCTGATGCGTGCTTTTTCTCTTCAAAACATGTTATTTTGTTGTTGCTTTTTAGCATTCCTCTTATTTTATTGATATTTTTACTTGAGATGTAATCATTGTACATATTTATGAAATACAGCATAATATTTCAGTAGGTATGTCATGTGTCAAATCAGGGTAATTAGCATATCTATCACTTCAAATACACACTCATAATTTCCTTGTGTTGGAAACATTCAAAATCCTCTCTTCTAGGTATTGGAAAATATACTAAATTATTGTTACCTATAGTTAACCTACAGACTATGAATGCCAGCACTTATACTTCCCCATCTAACTGTAACCTTACCCTTTCCAGTCTCTAGTAACTACTATTCTACTCCTTTGTAATTTTTTGTTGAAAGCCAGAAGGAGTGTATCAGTTGAAATGAACTGAAGTAAATAGGCCCTAAAAATAATCTAACTCCTAGCCAGACTAACATAAAACCACACATTAATGTTTAATGATTGTTATAGTAGTATATGTCAGAGACCAACGTTAACTAGTGTCCTTGTTTTGTCTCCACTGTTGTTTTTGTGCTTCCTTAACAATTCTTCCTTAAATAGAGCCTACATCTGGCATTCTTTGCGTTGTAATTCACTGCTGTCATACTGGAGCCCTTTTGGCCTGCCATTAATGTGTACGTGGTAGAGAGGTATTCTTTAATCTTATGATTAGGTCATTCAGGAAGGCTAGAAGATGTTAGGGAATGCCTTTCCTGTAGGCCAGATAAGGCTGAGGTAAAGTCTTTTCCCTTGCAGTGGAGGCCTTTGTCATGGAGATTGCTCCAGGTGTATTTCACAAAGGTTATTTTCCTCTCCCTCTCTCAGAGCCTGGAGAGGATTTTGGCTCTTCATTGTGAGATTCATTTGGAAATCCCAAGAAAATGTGAGAGGTCCTCCAAGACTGCATCCTTTACAAGTTTCTCACTCTCATCCTAGTTCACAATCAGCTTCAACAATTCATGAAAGTTACTAATTTAAATGTTCCTACCAGTTTCTGGCTCAAAGAAAAGTGATTAATTACAAGTTGTTCTTCTGTTTCCTTGTTTCAAAGACAGCAGTAACTACTTCCAAGCTCTTTTTTTTTTTTTTTGAAAACGAGAGTCTTGCTATGTTTACCAGTGTTAAAGCAAACTAAATATGGCCTGAGAAGGACTCCATACTTCTATATTTGAGTTATTGCGGATGAACTGTAACCTAGCTTAATAGGCAGACAAGATTGAAAATCTAACTTAAGAGTATGTGCCTGTAACAGTAGCTGAGCTGAGCCTTGGCCAATCCCAGTGGCCATACTTCAACCACTCATAGACTGCTAAGTGTTCAAACTGTGTTCAAATAAGGCAAACACCAACCTGTAACCAATACAGCTGTTTCTGTACCTCACCGCCGATTTCCTTTTTTTTGTCTATAAATTAGTTCTGACCATGAAGCATCTCTGGAGTCTCACTCAATCTGCTGTGATTCTGGGGGTTGCCTGATTTGTGAATCATTCATTGCTCAATTAAACTCCTTTAAATTTAATTTGGCTGAAGTTTCTCTTTTAACACCAGACCTCAAGTATTCCTCCCTTTTCAGCCTCTTAAGTAGCTAGGATTACAGGCACAAGCCACTGTGCCCAGCTAAGCACTTTACATTTTGTAGCTAAAACCAGAATTTCCATATGTGGCTATTTAAATTTAAATTGTAAACCAAAAAGTACCTGAGACAAATCTCGATCAATTTAGGAGTTTATTTTGCCAAGGTTAATAACATGCCTGTGACACAACCTCAGGAGATCCTGACAATATATGCCCAAGGTGGTCAAGCTACAGTTTGGCTTTATACATTTTAGGGAGACATATGACATCAATCAATACATGTAAAATGTGCTTTGGTTCAGGATGCAGAACCTCAGTGCAACTCTATGTTGGGGATGGGGGTTGGCCCTCCAGGTCTTAGGTGTATTCAAAGATTTTCTGAATAGCAATTGGATGAAAGAGTTTCTCTAAAGACCTGGAATCAATAGAAGGGAGTTTCTGGGTTAAGATAAACAGTTTTGGAGATCCAGGTTCTTTTTTTTTTTTTTTTTTTTTGAGACGGAGTCTTGCTCTCTTTCGCCCAGGCCGGAGTGCAGTGGCGCGATCTCAGCTCACTGCAACCTCCGCCTCCTGGGTTCACGCCATTCTCCTGCCTCAGCCTCCTGAGTAGCTGGGACTACAGGCGCCTGCCACCGCTCCCGGCTAATTTTTTGTATTTGTAGCAGAGATGGGGTTTCACCGTGTTAGCCAGGATGGTCTCAACCTCCTGACCTCGTGATCCACCCACCTTGGCCTCCCAAAGTGCTAGGATTACAGGCGTGAGCCACATTATTCCAGGTAGCAGGCTTCAGAAAGAATAGACTGTAAAAGCTTCTTATCAGACCTGAAGAGTCTGCTCTGTCAGTCTTAAGATCGCAGTTTTAATGTTAATGTTGGTCAGCTATGCCCAAATTCCAAAGAAAGGAAGGCAAAATGAGGCATGTCTGACCACTCATTCCCATCATGGCCTGAACTCGTGTTTCTGGTTTATTTTAGAATGTCCTTGTCCAAGAGGAGGGATCCATTCAGTTGGTTGGGGAGGCTTAGAATTTTATTTTTGGTTTCCAAAACTATGTAAAGTTAAGTAAAATTTAAAAGTTTGTTTCTTGGTCACACTAGCCATATTTCAGATGTTCAATAGCCATGTATGGCTAGTGGTTTCTGTATGAGACAGTGGTTTCTGTATGAACATTTCCATCATTACAGGAATTTCTATTAGTCAGAGATGGGCTAGAGGAATTCTCTAAAGAAATCTCATGGGGCAACTAGAATCACAAGACAAAATGGGTCAGTATAAAGTAAGATCTTTTAGAGTGATGTAAGTCTTTGTCTCAGATTCACTAAATGATGAGAGAAAATTCACAATAGAGGATAACTAGAGTTGACTCACAGGCTGGGAGTGGTGGTTCACACCTGTAATCCCAGCACTTTGGGAGGCTGAGGCCAGCGGATCACCTGAGGTCAGGAGTTCGAGACCAGCCTGACAAACATGGAGAAACCCCGTCTCTACTAAAAATACAAAATTAGCCGGTCGTGATGGTGGGCACCTGTAATCCCAGCTATTCGGGAGGCTGAGGCAGGGGAATTGCTTGAACCAGGGAGGTGGAAGTTGCAGTGAGCCAAGATCACACCACTGCACTCCAGCCTGGGTGACAGAGCGAGACTCCATCTCAAAAAGAAAAAAAAAGAGTCGATTCACAATAGTCTTCAGTTATAAAGATAAAAAGTGATCTCTCCTTTATTATAGCAATTAGCCCTAGGTTAAAAAAAAAAAAAAGACCCAACCCAATGCAAAGACCTTTATATTTTCATAATATAGCTAAAGCCAAACTTGGATTTTCTGCAAGTGACTGTCACTTGTGCATTTAAAACTTGAGTCTCGCTCTGTCATCTGTCACCCAGGCTGGAATGCAGTGGCGTGATCTCGGCTCACTGCAACCTCCACCTCCCAGGCTCAAGCCATTCTTGTGCCTCAGCCTCCGAAATAGCTGGGATTACAGGTGTGCACCACCATGCCTGGTTAATTTTTGTATTTTTAGTCGAGACGGAGTTTTGCCATGTTGCCCAGGCTGGTCTTGGACTCTTGACCTCAAGTGATCCACCAGCCTCAACCTCCCAGAGTGCTGGGATTACAGGTGTGAGGCACCACACTTGGCCTTGTTTTTATATTATTCTGTATATTTTTCCTGTCAGACAAAGGTCTGAGAATTAGCTACTAAAATTCTAGCTTCGGCTTGTGGTTTTGAGTGTGTAAAAAAATCCCCCAAGGACATATGGTGATTCAGCCCCAGGAATTATTTAATTTCAAAAGCATATAATCTAAAATAAAAGTAAAAATTTTTAAAACAAAAGAGAGAGAGAGAGCACACACACAATTCACTTGCTTCAGAAACAATAAAAAAAAAAGAAAATGAGATCTTCTGTACTTTTAATATTAAAGAACGTCATATAAGTGTCAGGCTTAATGGCTGAAATCTTTCAGGTAATTATACTGCCAGGACAGTTAAATATGATAATGTAATGTTAGACCTGAGAAGCATAGTAATGTTGGCATAGTCTATACATTGTCAGTTGTTCAAACATTATCTTACTAGTGTAATACAGCAGTTAAAAATATCTTTTTATTTTTTTCTTAATAATGTTATATATAACTGTATTTAAAAATGCCAATATGCTGCTCTGAGTTCCTCACAGGAGCCACAAGTTTTTACTTTGAACAATCTGTTTTTTAAATTGAAGGTTAAAATTAGAGGTTTACCATTTTGCCTTTGATCTTTTACTTTTATCAGAAAGTAAGCGCCATTAATTCTGGAATGCCATTGGTTGAAGAAAATAAAATATTTCCTATACTTTTTTTAAAATGTGACATTTGGACAAAATGTGATACTTATTAGTAAGAGGCAATAAATGTATGTCGCACTACATAGTTGCCCCTCAGTATCCCTTGGGGCTTGGTTTAAGGATCTCCCACTGATATAAAAATCTATGCATGCTCAAGAGTCTGTTGTAAAATGGTATAGTTTTTGTCATTGTATACATTGTACTATTTGTATATAACCCCTGCACATCCTCCCATACTCTTTAAATCATCTTTAGATTACTTATCATACCCAACACCATGTAAATGCTATGTGAATAGTTGTCATACTGCATCATTTAGGGAATAATGATAAGGAAAAAAAGTTTGTAGATGTTCATTCAGTACAGATGCATTTTTTAAAAAATATTCTCAATCCACTGTCAGTTGAATCCATGGATGCAAAACCATGGATACAGGGGGTTGACTGTACATTAACTTTGTAACTTTTTACTCTCTGATTAAATGCTTTCATTACTGAGACTTCCTAAAATAAATTCCTGAAAATGTAAAATGGTTATTTTAAGTTTGAGAGAAGCAATGTAATTAAGAATAATTTAAAGTCTATTTCTGGGACTGGAAGTTATTGGATGTGATCCTTAATCCCTAATAAGCAACTATGTATCTTCAAATATTGAAAATTGAAAATAATAATAAAGATCTTGAAAATGTCTAAATCAAATGCCTTGGCCAACCTGATGGCAAATATGTGTAGAAATCAATAAAGCCAATAATGAGCAAAGATGCAAAGAAGGAAACAACAGTAATATCATAAGATCTCCCTCCACTTGCAGCATCACAAGGTGGAGGGGTAATATGGAAATTGCAAATATAGCTAATGTTTATTAATCATTTACACGTACCAGGCACCAAACTAATTATTCATTCATTCACTCAACAAACATTTATGAAGCACTTACTGTGTGCCAGAAAATGTCTAGACATGTGGGACACTTCAGATGAGCAAAGCAGACAAGGATTTCTGTCCTCTTGTAGTTTCTATTTTAGTAGAAGCCACATAAATAAGTAAATAATGATGTCAAAAGTACTAAGGATAATAAAAAGAGTAGAGTAAGGAATTCAGAGGGTGCCAAGTAGAGGAGACTAGTTGCAACTTGAAATCTATGGGCCTCATTGAGAAGGTAACTTTTGAACAAAAGTGTGGGAGAGAAGAGTGCTCCAGGTAGAGACAATAGCTTGTACGTGACCTAGGGTGGAGAGTGCTACTGTGCTCAAGATGCTACATGGAAGCCACTGTGGCCATAAACGAGTGGCCAGGGAACTGGGGGAAAAGAGAATGAAGAAGAGGTCAGAGAAGTCACTGAAGGCGAGACTATAAATATAAGTTGAAGATAGAGCCAACTGTATTTCCTGCTAATTGGATACACACGCAAGAGAAGGAGTGGAGTCCACCATATATCCCAAGATTATAGCTTGAGCAACTGAAAGGATGAAATTGCCATCAGGTAAGATAGAGAAAGAAACAAGTGGAGAAGACTGGGTAGAACATTGAATTTCAATTTTTCTTTTATCTGAAAATAAATTTGAGATTTGATGAGCTTTATTTGATGATTTTTCATGAATTTGAGATGTCTGTGGGAAGTCCAAATGGAAGGATCAAGCAGGCATCTTCATATATGAGTCTAGAGTTCAGGAGTGATCTGCTCTGGAGATACATAATTGGTAACTTTGCACATATATGTGGAACAAAATTGGGTGTGTGAACCAGGTACTAAGGTCTGGGACACCTGAACCTTGACTGATAAAGAAGAATGGGAGTTACCAAGAACGGAGCAGAGAAAGAGTGATCAGAAAGGGAGAAAACTAAGAGAAGGTGGCATCTTGACCTAAGAGCAGAAAGTATATGAAGGACAAGGGAAGAAAGCAATCACATCAAACACCATTCGTAAGTAAAGGAAGAGTGAATAAGATGAAGACTGAGAATTGACCATTAAACTTGGGAAATAGAAGAGTTTCATGAAGTAGCAAGGGAAAATGGCTGATTAGAAGGTATGTAATAGGAATAGAAGTAGAAAAAGTGAAGAAAGTGAACATGTAGACAATTAGTTCAGAGAGTTTTGCTGCAAAGTGAAATACAAGAGTAAATCAGTAGATGGCAGGGAAGTGGAGTCAAGAGAAGTTTGATGACTTATTTTAAGATGAGAGATATCTTTGTATTGTGATGGGAATAATCCCACAGAAAGTGAAAAAAATAAATGATAACAGAAGGGGGCTCAATATTTTTTAATAGTCAAGAGGTGATGGGACTTACTGTACAAATCAAGGAATTGGCTCTCATAGGAATAAAGCTTATCCTACCTATCGCAACAGGCAGGAAAGCATGGCATATGGGTACAGATGCTGCTAGGTCTGAACAGAAGGGAGTAGAAGCATATATGTGGAATAAAAGTGGGTTGACGTTCTGTTCTTTACATATATCATTAGCAGTCAACATGCCCAGCAACTGGGGAAACCAATGAGTACCAAGGCGCTGAAGGAGGGAGCTGGGTGATGCCCTACACTGTCCACTACAGTGACTTACCAAGTAGTGAGTAACTAATCTGCTGATGGGCAATTTAATATTGCCTACAGAAATTCTGATGAATATGAAGCAAATACGCTGATATTAATTCTAACTTCAAAGTAAGCTGGGCTGATGATTTCAGTTGTATTTTACATTCATTTCCCAATTAAATACAGTAAAATAATGTCATTATCATGGAGGATAAGGTTATTTGAGAGTTCAGTGAAATCTTGCAAATAAAGAACTCAGCATAGTTATGGCACATAGTAAGTACTCAATGAATCTCAGGTATAAGTTAAATGAAACAATCATAATTCTCAGAAAGTAACAATTTATTTTTCATTATTGCTAGGTGTGGAGGGAGTGGTTTTGTTGCTAATAGTGTTTTGTTTTTATATTGGGGGAGGTCTCGACTGAAGATCAGAATTAGACTTATCTCTCAGGAAAAAGTTTTATTTATTGGTGATGTGTATAATCATTTTAAATGTAAGTCTTTCGCTCTTTAGGTTTTTTAAAATCAAAGAACTATTCTAAAGTACTTCGGCAGTATAATTAAGCCTTTGTTTCTCTCTTATTCAAATCTCTTTTAAATGCTCTGTGTTTACCAAATTTCTCTCTTTTGCTCCTTAAAATTGTTTATTATTTTGACTCATTTGGCGAAATTTAAAGAAATAATTTTTCTCCTTTTGAAAAGAAAGGTAAATTAATTTCTTATGGCAAAGATGAGTGAGAGGTTAATTTTGCCAACCAAAGAAATTTGGAGAAAACTTGAGTGAGTGATTTCTTTCATTAGCCTGTGAACAGGTTATTTATTTCACATGTAATTATAAAACAAGTAATTCTGAATAAAACCAACCCTGAAAACAAATAGGACTCATTTGCAGTTCTAACTGAATTAGATACTGAAAAATGCTTGCATTCTGATATGTTTTGAAAAGTCTAATGAAATTATAAATATAATATTTCAGAGAAGGAAATGTGCAGAGACAGCATAACAAGAAGCTCAATTTCACTTTGCCATTCGAAACTTTTCTTACCTATAAGTTGGTGATGTGAAATAATTCAGGAAAATTGAGTTTCAACCCAAATATCATGAGGTTGCTAAGTATATGTAGTTTATAATGTGCACAGTAGGTCAAATCGATATTGTGATCCTTAGAGTTAAATGTTTTATTGGATAAATGCAGAAACCCAAGTTTGACTCTAACAGAAGTTTAAAATAAGTTATAAATAAGATTTAATGTTAACAGCAGGGATTTTTTCTAACCATAAACTGAAAAATATACCCATATTAATAAGTTAGGATTATGTACAACAATATATCAAAATCAAACTGTCCTTTTTTTTCTTCCAAAAGAATAGCCAATGAACTAGTTAGAGCTAGTTAAATCAGAATAAAATCCCTTTCACACACACACACACACACACACACACAATTGAATAGTAATAAAATAAGAAAATAATGTTACTGTCACTTAGAATCATTGCCTTCTAGGTTGAAAACAATGGTTTTCCTATGATATCTTCATAAGTTAATACAAATCAATAAAGTATATAATAATGACAAAAGAACCACTGTCCTGGTATTAGAAAGAAATATCTTTTTCTAACTCTCCATTCATACAACATATTTTAAACCCTGGAGAATGGGACATTTGGGGATTGTGCTCTGAGTCAAGTAGAAATTCAAAGAAAATTCCAGTGATAAAACAAACTGTCCCACTTTCTCTAAGTTACTCATAACAGTGATTTAGTACATAAATGAAGTAACTGTCTACACTTTTGAGGACAACATGTAGTTCACTCATTCTGCTTTTTTCCCCCTTTCTTTCCCTACATTCTCACTGTTTCAGCTGTAGTACTTTTGAAAGCAGGGTCTGAGACAAAGACTTGATTGCCAATCATTTGGAGGAGCATACAATCCTAAGAAACAGAAGTGCAGAACAGGGCAAGTGAAAATGAAAAGGGGCAATAACTGATTCCAGAATGCATTTTCAAGTTGGCAACCAAACAGGTGACTGAGACTCAAGCCCATGGCACATTCTGAGGAGGCTTCAGAGCTGTTTTCCTGGAGGATGAAAGATGAAAGCATTTATCTGTCAGTTCCAACCCGCATTTGGATGAGAGTGACTCCTCAGACATTAACTGCCCTGCTCTTCTGGGTTGCTCATGCATGAGTACGTTGCAGGAGCTCAATAATGTTCTTCACTCAAGGCAGTAAGCAGTTGGCTTGTAGCCCAAGAAAAGGCACTGTTGGGTTCCAACTGCCACAGCTAGTGGAGGGCTGAATGGAGGCCATCACACCACATAAACAGGGGCTGGAGTTCCCAGTAAGGCTTAGAGAATGGTGAAATGGGACACAATAGTTGTCTGAGACGCTCTTCCTCCTCTTGTAATCTAGACTCCTTCAAGCTCCTCCACTTATGGCTCACAAACATTTTGCTTTTGTTGCTCCGTGCATACCAAGGTGATTTTATCTCAATGCATGACTCTTATTTTTCTGGAGCAGGATAAAAACAAAATAGTGATATCTTTAACCTAAAGTATGTAAAAATTCTAAATAGCAGCTTTAGAAAGGGCCCATGCAGCAAAACTTTGAATCCTTCTACCTTATTCAAGACTTTCCATCACCTCATGGGATTTCTACTCTTGGTTCCCTTCATTCATCCTAACCCTAACCCTTAAGTTAGTCAAGTGTCCTGAAACACCATCCTACCCGCATCTTGAATTACCTAGCAGAATAAAGAATTTGTCTAATATGTAAGACCTTTTATGGTTCACTACTGTTTTGCAATTCTTATGGTAGAATGTATTTCCTCCAAACATCAGTGTCTTAGTTCAGGCTGCTGTAACAAATTATCATAGACTGGGAGACTTAAACCACAGAAATTTATTTCTAAGAGTTCCAGGGGCTGGAAGTTCAAGATCAGGGTGTGAGCTTGTTCAGGTTCTGGTGAAGGATCTCTTCTGTTTGTATCCTCACATGGTGGAAAGAGTTCCTGGGATCCTTATCACAAGGCACTAATTCTATTTATGGGAGAGGGGGCTTCATTCTCAGGACCTAATGAATTCCCCAAATCCCAACCTCCTAATACCAAAACACTGGGGGTCAGGATTTCAACATATAAATTTGGGAGAGCGGGACACAAACATTCAGTCCATTGTAATCTGCGTGAGCTAACTTGAATGAAAAATTTCTTTTAACATTTTTGTTGGAAACATTGACATTTACAACCATATACATTTTTCATATCATTTTATTTTTGCCAAAATGCTTAGTAATGATTCTACATGGGTCTGAATACAATTTCAGGTGATTGTTGTTACATCTTTTTGGAAATCATTGCTACCACACTTGAGAGATGTTTAGTTTATTAGATACTTGACCCCTGTAAATTTTTGCCCCTTTCTAGGAAATTAGGGTCTTAGTAGAGTGTGGGTTTCTACATCATACCACCAGTGTTTAGAGATTGCTGCCAAAAGTCAAGACAAGGAGGAAAGGAAGCCCGTTATTGAAAAAAAAAACTGGACAAACACTAAAAGTTTAAGGCTGACGAGTAGCAGCAAACAAACAGGTTCTTCATCAAAACAAAAGATTGTCTGCACAATACATTGACAAACATGCACAAAATTCTCATTTGTCCAAAAAGATTGGCACTTTGGAGGACAAAATAAAGAGATAGGTTCTCAATCTTGAAGGGAGCACTTTATACTCTGAGGACATAAGAGAGCCATGTACAAACATTTACATAACTTAGAATTAGGTGTGAAGGTTCCCTGTACCATTGAAAAAATTTTAAAAACAGAAACATTTTTATAAGGCTGGAGTCAAAATGAATGGTTTTATGGATTTAGAGGAAGACTTGTAGAAAATGGGAGGTGTGAATTTGGGCTGGTGGAAAAGGCCAGAAAATGCATTTCTTGTGAGGAATAGTACATGAGTAATTACACAGACACACATTATTCTGTCCAGTCACAATGGCATTTTTCCATTTCCCTGAGTTCCTCTCTGCTGATTTTTCTTCAGATATTTGAGGTGCTGGCTCCCACTTGTCATTTAAGTCTTGCCTTAAGAATGCCTGTGTCATCTTACTTATGTAGACACTAGTCTCTCTGTAGAATTATGCCTTATTTTATTTTCCTCAAAGGACTTGCCTTAACTGATATTGTCTTGTTTACTTTCTTGTGTTTATTTTGTCTGCCATTCTCCACTAAAATGTTAGCTACATGAGAGAAGAGAACTTTTCCATCTTTACCTGCTGTTCAACAGCAATTTGAACAGTACTCAACATAAAGTTCACGACTGATCATATTTCTTGGATAAGTTGGAGAATGTATCACACATCGTCATATGACCTTGCCTCTTCCATGGCAAGAATTGGGCCTTCAGTATGTTCTTTTCTCACTCTCTCTATTAACTAGAGGTTTCCTTGATTCATATTCTTTTTTCATTTAAACTCTATTCAACAAAAAAAAGAAAAAACTGGTGACTATTTTATCAGATAAAATACTCTTACATCTGTCTTATAAAGGTAAGAATTTGGCAAGATGAAACATCTTGTCTTTTATATTTACAATATGCTAAATATGATAATTCAAAATGTATTATGGACATTTAAAATAAAAATCACACAAATTTTTTTTCTCTAATACTGTCTATCTCCTAAGATCTGCTGCTATCTTCTTACAGCTTTGCTAAAAGAGTTTTGAATTTTAAATTAAATGTGACAGCCATATTGTTGTCATTAAAATTTTCTATTAAAAAACCATTTTGCATAACAAAATAGTTAATAATTTATTTGTGTTGATTGTTTTTTAGTTTTTATAAAAAGGAATGTGAAATTTTATTATATGAATCAAGATTAAGAAAAATACAAGAAGTATTTAGGACTTCTAAAATGAGGAATTTGCTCCAGTGGTTGAGACAGGAAATATGCAATCCTGTGGCCCAGTAATTCCTTCATGGGTTTTGCAGTCACAGACCACTTCAAGCCCTACTTTAGAAATTCACAAGCAACACTTTAAAGAGATGTGATTAAATAAATACAAACTTTTCACCACTCCTGTAAAATGACTCAAAATTAATGTCCTAACAATTCCAGCTTTGTATTTAAGGGCAGCACATTATTATAGAGATGTTAAAGAAACTTAGATTATTATTAAAGAAATGTGAACTGAGGATTACTAATAACTGTTTTCAAGCATATAAAAAGTGCTGTAAAAATGGTTGACCAGATGTTTTCCATCTACATGGGGACAGAATCAAATTAAATGATGGCAAATTATAATAAGAAAGAAGTAAATTACACCTAAAAATAAAAAAACATCCCCACTGGATAAGATTATAGATTGGCACAGTCATCTTTCACCAGTTAAGTACAGCAATACTTGCAGGCAGAGAATGAAGAGACAATACCTACCAGGATTTTTCTTCTGGCAGAAATAGACACAGGGGTCTCTAAATAAGAGGCTCACTATTACCACGATAACAAAATACACACATTATGGTCTTGTTTTCCCCCAGTTCATCATTGTGCTTTTATTTGGAACCAGGAAAAGAAACAATAAAGTGAACTGAGAAAGTGTGACTAGGTTAGAAAGGTTGAAGAAGATGGAAATAAATGAAGGAAGATAAGAATGCACAGTTAGGAAGTAAATAATAGTAAACTCAAAGACTTTTTCAATACATAACAGTTCTGAAGTCCTAAACTGATGACCTAGAAAACATCACAAACCAAAGCTCCTTGAAATTCAATGCAATCCATTTCATATATGTGCATTTAGAAAAAATCATCAGATTCTAAAGCATTCATCTATCCCAAAGGGGTGGCTGACTTCAAAAAGTTTCAGGATCTTAGACTAAACATTGCTGTGGACTAAATAATAGTGTTGCTATTCCGATCACGATTTTACCTTAATAATTAGGCATTAGCTAGATTGAAGACTTTTTTTTTTTTTCCTGGAGCTGGACTGAGAAAATGTCCTCAGCAAGATATCAAGTGTCTTTCAAGAACTATTTAAAGCTAAAGGAATATCTTGTGGCTCCCAGTTACCAGACATTACAGTTTAGGAGAGAAATGTTGGAGCTCATTAAAGAGAAAGAAACAGTGCTTCTCCAAGTCCATGGCCCCGTCACCTGCTTCTCCTTCCCAGTAGAACATTTAGCTCTGTCTTTACTGAGTAAAGGTAAGGCTTTGTATTTTTGTTTCCTATCTGTCTCATTCCATCTTTTATCTCAACAAAATACATCCCCAATACTACATTGTCTGCTAATAAATGTGTAAGCTATATGGTCACTTTGAAAGAAACAGAGAAAAATTAATGGTCTCGATGCTAAATATATAAATCAAATACCAAATATTATACCTATTCGGTGGCTAGCTGTGATACTTATGTAAATACAAATGCCATGGGGCACCTAGTTTAATGTAGATTTAATAGGCATGTACATTGAAAATATAGAGTTTCTTGTTTAAAACTACTCTGCCCTTCTACCTGAGCCTCAAATATTATGAAAAAATAAGTAAATGAATGCACATTACACTTTAAAATAAATTTTACCTGGTGCTATAAACCAGCGATTGCAAACTTTCTATAGGGGGCCAGAGAGCAAATATTTTAGGCTATGTGGGCCATTCAGTCTGTAATGGTTAATTTTAGATGTCAACTTAATGAGATTAAGGGATACCCAGATAGATGGTAAAGCATTGTTTCTGGGGATGTCTGTTTTGAGGGTGTTTTCAGAAGAGACTGGCTTTTCATCAATGGATTCAGTAAGGAAGATCTGCTCTCACCAACGTGACTGGGCACTAACAAATTTGCTGAGGGCCCAGACAGAACAAAAAGCAGAGGAAAGAAGAATTCACTCTCTCTCTCTCCCTTCTGGAGCTGAGACATTCAGCTTCTCCTGCTTTTGGACATCAGAACTCCAGGATCTCCAGCCTTCAGACTCCAGGGCTTGCGCCCCTTCCCTCTCTACCTTCAGCCTTGGACCGAGAGTTACATGGCCCACTCCCTGGTTCTCAGGCTTTGCACTTGGACCGAGCCACACTATTGGTTTCCCTGGTTCTCCAGCCTGTGGACCTCATACTGTGGGATTTCAGCCCTCCATAATCACATAAGCCAACTCCTCTAGTTAATCCCCTCCTATTTATATCTCTCTACATTTATAAAATATGTATTTGAAATATTTTATATCATATAATATACAATGATATATAATATATGTTATATTTATATATATCCTATTGGTTCTGTTTCTATGGGAAACCCTAATATGCAGTCTATGTTGCAACTACTCAACTCTGTCATTGTAGCACAAAAGCAGTCATAGACAATGTAGAAAAGGGTAAATCTGGCTGTTTTCCAGTAAAATATTATTTAAAAATTAGGCAGCAGCTGGATTTGGCCACCAGGCTTATAGTTTGCTGACTGTGGATTTAAACAGTTCCTTTGGGAAATTTTGCTTTTTCATTCGCCCAGATATTCTCTCCTTTCACCTATTTTTCTTGCCCAGTTGAAATTCAAGAGAATGAGTAGAGGCATCTTCTCATCTGCTAACCTCAGGGCCATGCTTCCTGGCTCCTTGCTTCTGGCTTGCCCTGCTGGCTTTGGTTCTGCGGCCGGGATAATTTGTAATCTGGGACTCTCCAGGAAGGGCACTATGTGGAGCTGCCTGGCTGTCTTGGTTCTCCTCAGCTCCTTTGGCGCTATGACTTTTCAGGGGTCTGGCTGTGACTGCCGCTTAGTCTTAGGCTCTGCAGGTCCCACAGCTACTTCATCACATTATGGCAATCCCCTCTGACAAGCTTTCCAGCTGCATCTACATCCCACCCATACTATACATAAAACAAGGGCAATTTGGAGAACTGTCTCAAGATCTCAGGTGTCTGACTATACTGTTGGCTCTTCCCATGGTTTGTGAGAGGCCACTTCTATCTCCTTTAAATATTACCCTAAATTATGTGATACTCCTCACTTAGATCAAACCCAGAGAACTTCCCTCAATCCTAAATCTTGATATGTTTAAAAGCATTAAAATTTTTTTCTCTAAAAACAATTGAGTTTGTATCTTTTACTATATGTCAGAAGGTGAAAATTACAGTCTTCTTTCTCTTCTTAGTCCTTCTCTAATAAATCTGAATTTACTTATCCTACCCACCCCCAAGGTAAAATAGATGACAAGCCAGCTAGGATAAAGGTCATGCATTGAGAAAGTTCAGAAAGGAAAATAATGTAGTTACATGTTATGTTAAATTTCCCCTACAACAGTCCTCCTAGATAGGTATTGTTATACTCATCTAGAAATGAAAAAATTAAGGTTCACAGAATTTGCTAAATAAAGCTTGACCACCTGCTATATAAAAAAACAGAAAACCTATCTGTTTCTGACTACACTCCTAATTCTCATTCAACCACAATTCCTGGAAGACAGGAAGTTAACTCCTGGTAAAGAGCATGGTTTGTGTTCCAGCCCCAAAGCCTCCAAATAAATGAACTTCTCTCCACCTTTGCATGGAATCACTGGGATTAAATGAGGTAAGTATAGTAACAGCTATCTTTCATCCAGCCCCTGGGTAAGTCAGGCAGTTTCTAAACATTTAGATATATTATCTCATTTAATTCTCAAAACAATCCTATAAGGTATTAAAATTATTATCATTTTTTTACTTAATGTTACTAAGGTCCTCAATATAGAGTCTGCCACATAGTAAATGCTTAGTAAGAACTAGTTATTCTTAAAATTATTACTCTTCCATTAGAATTACACCAACCAATAATATTTATACAGACATCTTTTTCCCCAGAGCAGAAGCAGTCTTTGATAGGCAGCCTTTGTTTGCTCATACTGTGAGGAACTCCCATTCTTAAAAGGACTAAAAGAGCATCACACTTAAGAACAAATTCTGGGGTCCACCTACACTGCCATTCTCCTCAGCTCCCATGATGCCAGACTTTGCTGGGTGCAGAGGCCCAGAACATAATGGCAGTGTTGGAAGCAGGAAAAAGATAGGAAAGGATGTGTACCAGGATGGCCAAGACAAGCCACTGGGTCAATTCAATATCCAGGCACGATTTTTCCCTTTTGAATTTACATTTGTTTAAGTTTTAATCCTAACCCACTTGATGAATTCAATTTGAATTCATTTTGAATTCTTAATATCACAACGTATTTCCTCATTTTATGAAAAGGGGAGACACTGTATTATGGAAGAAGTCTTGGCCCAGAAGCTAATATATGTGGTTTGTCATTTCTATTGTGCCACTAAATATGTGATATTAGCACTAATCGAAATTTTATGTATCTATTTGAAAATACAATCAAACTATATAATAAGGCTATAAGACTAGATGTTCATAAAGATACCTCCCAGAGAAAAATTGTCTTTTGAATATTTTCTATTGTCCTCGGCTCAAATGCTAATGAGTCTCTTCGTCTTTAGTCAACATAAGACTTGAAATTGTTTCCATTGGCAACCACCTCACAATTATTAGTTAAAGAGAAACCAGCTCTAGGCTTTGAATAATCCATCATTTTTAGAATTATTTATGGGTTTCAATTCCTCATTTGATTTTCTTTTTAACTGAAATATAAATGGAAGGAATATGAACTGTAGTATCTAAGGGTCTTCTTTACCTATCATTATGTTAATCATTTAATATAATAAACACAGAGATATCCACTTCCCATCTCCCTTTTGCACTGTGCCAATATTTGCTTCACATCAGCATTCACTATTTGCAATCCATAAAATCACATGGTGAAAAAAAATATGTCCTTTTTCTTTAAGGATCTCATTAATACTTTGATTTCACAGTTATCAACTACAAAAAAAAACACCTTTTGTAGTTTCTGTCATTTTGGGATTTCGAAAGAATCTGGGTCTTATTTTATACCACAAGAAGCAGAAACCTCATTCTCTCAATGCAATGAAATTGTTATAGCTGTAAATATATAGTTATTGGGATCTTAGGTATAGTCATCCCGTATTGTATATGACCATAGAAGATTCGTCCTTCTTCATTCCAAACAAACCAAGAAAAAAACTATCAGGTTAGAATGTTTGATTGAACTTTCATGCATTCATTTTTTATATTTATTTGTTCAATACATATTTACTCATTTAGTAGATATTTATGTCTCCCGTGTACCAGAAATTGTGCTAAGTACAAAGAATAGAAAGTCAAAACAAATTTGGTTCATGCCTCCATGGAGCTTATGGTTTAATAGGGGAGAAACACAGGCAAATCAATTATAGTGTCATTATAATGCAAGTGCTATGTCAAAGAGATGCACAGCAGCTATGGGAGCACAGAGGAGGAACATCTTTCTTACTAAGACAAAATCTTTCAAAGGTATTTATTATTCAACAGGATTTATATGTTACTTTAACAATTTTTTTTGCTTATGCATTATTTAAGAGGGATACTATTCAAAACACTATGTTACATAAATACATGAACTTAAAAATATTTAGTGAACATTTGTTATATGCAAAGTTTTGGTTAAGTTACCTTGCTGGCTGAAAGAAAAGATGGAATTCTTATACATAAGAACAATAAAAATTAAGAAAATGATAATGAGTGAAAATCACTTATTCCCAAAGAGAACACCTGAAAAAAAATATGTTTTCAGAAATTGAAGGTCAAAGAGGGGCAAAGTACATCAGAGAAAATGAGTTTCTTAATCTCGTACAGCCAGATTTGCCTACTGAACACACAGCTTATGACAAAATAATTGTGCAGTAATTACTCTAAAAGATGAGACAAAATCAAGTTAAAATGGAGCAAATTGCCTTTTGCATTGTGGCCAATGACAATTAGTGACACATTCATGCTGTAAAATACCACTTTCTTTTTGTGAGAGGTGACCTATTGCTCGATGGTTAAGTAACTAGGTTACTTCATGGAAAATCTTCTGCAATCCTGTCTCTCAGAGGAAATGCAAAGTTTATTATTGCTACTGCTTTGGTGGCAATTTCATATTCAATAATGAAACAAGTATACATCTTAAGTCATGCAAGTGTAAGTGCAACAATTTTTCCCGGTCATGTTTACTGAGTGTTTGCTATGTCCAGGGACTATCCCAGGTTACTTACATGTATCAATTCATTTTACATGCACAAATCTAGCATAGTGGCATTTTTCTCAGTTTTTAGATGAATAACTGAGACATGGAAGGTTGGGGATGTTGCCCAAAAGTTTCACAGAGAGCCAGATGTAGATCCATGATTTGAAACCAGGCATGCTGTGTCCAGAGTAAGTGTTGTCAGACAGAATAATGTGCCATGTGCCCCACATAGTCCAGAAACCAGTGGATGGTCTTCCTGTTTACATTTTTTAAATGTAAGTGAAGGGTTTTTTGGTTTTATTATTATTTTTAATTAACATATAATAATGTACATATTTATGGAGTACAGTGTGATATTTTAACACATGCATACTTTTGTATCAATTCACCAACCTTTGGCTATCCCCCTGCCACCAACACTCTCCTACCTCTAGTAACCACTATTCTGCTCTCTGCTTCTGTAAGAACAACTTTCTTAGCTTCTACATATGAATGAGAACATACAGTATTTATCTTTTGGTGCCCAACTTATGTCACTTAATGTCTTCCAAGCTCAGAATTTGTTCTTTTCTATGGCTAAACAGTATTCTATTGTGTATATTTTCTTTATCCATTCATTTGTTGATGGACGCTTAGGTTAATTCTATATCTTGGTTATTGTAAATAAAAATGAAATTTTTCTTGATGACTTAAGCAAATGCTCCCAACTTACTGTTAAGTAAAAGAAAAAAAAAAGAAAAGCAGGAGAAAAGAGATCTTTACCTACTGGTTCTCATTACTGTTTTTAAAAATAACATACATAGTTAGTCATTGAAAGTAGATAGGTAAATATATAGTTAAGATAAGGAAATAGATCTATACAGTAAAGGCTAGAAATTGTTATTAATTCTGTGAGTTGAAGTATAGACTGCTTTCATTTACTTATGTGTGTATTTTCAAAATCGTATACAATAAACATTAAGTTAATATAAAAATCACATTGTCATATCAGACTCACTTCAATGAAAGACTGTGTCCAGTATCAAGCTTTACCTGTAGTTTAAGGATCCAATCAATGAAGAGGCAAGAAGAGATCTAAAACATCCTACTAGCTTCCACAGCCCTCTTTTTCACATTAGAACACATAGTCTCTGGTTGAGAATAATAGAAGTCTACAATGTCACCTTACCCAATAGGAAGCATTTATGTTATAAGGCATCTCCATTTTATTTTTTTTCTTCATAGTTCTTTTTTAATTTTTTTTTCATAGGTTATTGGGGGAACAGGTGGTGTTTGGTTACATGAGTAAGTTATTTAGTGATGATTTGTGAGATTTTGGTGCACAAATCACCAAGCAGTATACACTGCACCCTATTTGTAGTCTTTTATCCCTCTCCTTTCTCCCTGAGTACCCAAAGTCCATTGTGTCATTCATATGCCTTTGCATCCTCATATTTTAGCTCCCACTTATGAGTGAGAACATACAATGTTTGGTTTTCCACTCCTGAGTTACTTCACTAAGAATAATAGTCTCAAATCTCATCTAGGTTTCTGCGGATGTCATTATTTTATTCCTTTTTAGGGCTGAGTAGTATTCCACCGTATATATAACCCACAGTTTCTTTATCCACTCCTTGATTGATGGGCATTTAGGCTGGTTCCACATTTTTGCAATTGTGAATTGTGCTACTATAAACATTCATGTGCAAGTATCTTTTTTGTATAACAACTACTTTTTTCTGGATAGATACCCGGTAGTGGGATTGCTGGATCAAATGGTAGTCCTACTTTTAGTTCTTTAAGGAATCTCCACACTGTTTGCCATAGTGGTTGTACTAGTTTACATTCCCACCAGCACTGTAGAAGTGTTTCCTGTTCACCACATCCACACCAACATCTATTAGTTTTTGATTTTTTGATTATGGACATTCTTGCAGGAGTAAGGGTATCACCTTGTGGTTTTGATTTGCATTTCCTTGATTATTAGTGATGTTGAGCATTTTTTCATATGTTTATTGGACATTTGTATATTTCTTTTGAGAATTGTCTAGTAATGTCCTTAGCCCACTTTTTGATGGAATTGTTTTTTTCTTGCTAATTTGTTTGAGTTCATCTTAGATTCTGTATATTTGTCCTTTGTCAGATGTATAGATTGTGAAGATGTTCGCTTATTCTGTGGGTTGTCTGTTTACTCTGCTGACTATTCCTTTTCCCATGCAAAAGGTCTTTAATTTAATTAAGTCCCAGCTATTTATCTTTGGTTTTATTGCATTTGCTTTTGGGTTCTCGGTCATGAAATCCTTGCCTAAGCCAATGTCTAGAGGTCTTTTCCAATGTTATCTTCTTGAATTTTTATAGTTTCAGGTCTTAGATTTAAGTCCTTGATCCATCTTGAACTCAGGTTTAAGCCCTTGATCCATCTTGTGTATAGCAAGAGATGAGGATCCAGTTTCATTCTCCTACATGTGGCTAGCCAATTATCCCAGCACCATTTGTGGAATAGGGTGTCCTTTCCTCACTTTATGTTTTTGTTTGCTTTGTCGAAGATCAGTTGGCTTGTAAGTATTTGGGTTTATTTCTGGGTTCTCTATTCTGTTCCCTTGGTCTATGTGCCTATTTTTAAACCAGTACCAGGCTGTTCTGGTGACTATTGCCTTATAGTATACATTGAAATCAGGTAATGTGATGCCTCCAGATTTGTTCTTTTTGCTTAGTCTTGCTTCCGCTATGCAGACTCTTTTTTGGATTCATATGAATTTTAGGATTTTTTTTCTAGTTCTGTGAAGAATAATGGTGGCATTTTAATGGGAATTGCATTGAATTTTTAAATTGTTTTTGGCAGTATGGTTATTTTCACAATATTGATTCTACCCATCCATGAGCACGGGATGTGTTTCCATTTGTTTGTGTTGTCTATGATTTCTTTCAGCAATGTTTTGTAGTTTTCCTTGTAGAGGTATTTCACCTCCTTGGTTAGGTATATTCCTAAGTATTTCATTTTTTTTATTTTTTGGCAGCTATTGTAAAAGTGCTGAGTTCATGATTTGATTCTTAGATTGGTCATTGTTGGTGCATAGGAGAGCTACTGATTTGTGTCCATTAATTTTGCATCTGGAAACTTTGCTGAATTCTTTTATCAGTTTTAGAAGCATTCTGGAGGAGTCTTTAGGGTTTTCTAGGTATGTAATCATATAATCAGCAAACAGTGACAGTTGGACTTCCTCTTTATCTATTTGGACGCCCTTTATTTCTTTCTCCTGTCTGATTGGTCTGAGACTTCCAGTACTATGTTGAGGAGAAGCGGTGAGAGTGGGCATCCTTGTCTTGTTCCAGTTCTCAGAGGGAATGCTTTCAATTTTTCCCCATTCAGTATTACATTGGCTGTGGGTTTGTCATAGATGGCTTTTATTACATTGTGGTATGTCCCCTCTATGTTGATTTTGTTGAGAGTTTTAATCATAAAGGGATGCTAGATTTTGTGGAATGCTTTTTCTGTGTCTATTGAGATGATCATGTGACTTTTGTTTTTAATTCTGTTTATGTGTTGTATCACATTTATTAACTTGCATATGTTAAACCATCCCTGCATCCCTGGTATGAAACCTACTTGATTATGGTGGATTATCTTTTTGCTGTGTTATTGGATTCAGTTAGCTAATATTTTGTTAAGGAATTTTGCATCTATGTTCTTCAGGGATATCGGGCTGTAGTTTTCTTTTTTTGTTATATCCTTTCCTGGTTTTGGTATTAGGGTGATACTGGCTTCATAGAATGATTTAGGGAGGATTCCCTCTTTCTCTATCTTGTGGAATAGTCTCAATAGGATTGGTGCCAATTCTTCTTTTCATGTCTGGTAGATTTCAGCTGTGACTCCATCTGGTCCTGGACTTTGTTTTGTTGTTGGTAATTTTTTATTATTACCATTTCAATCTCACTGCTTGTTTTTGGTCTGTTCAGGGTATCTAATTCTTCCTGATTTAAGCTAGGAGGGTTGTATCTTTACAGGAATTTATCCATCTCCTCTAGCTTTTCTAGTTTATGCATGTAAAGAAGTTCCTAGTAGCTTTGAATGATCTTTTGTGTTTCTGTGGTGTAAGTTGTAACATCTCTCATTTTGTTTCTGACTGAGCTCATTTGGATTTTTCTTTCTTCTTGGTTAATCTTGCTAATGGTCTATCAATTTTATTTATCTTTTCAAAGAACCAGTTTTTTGTTTTATATATCTTTTGTTTTTTTGTTTGTTTGTCTCTTTCAATTTCTTTTAGTTCTGCTCTGATCTTGGTTATTTCCTTTCTTCTTCTGGGTTTGGGTTTGGTTTGTTATTGTTTCTCTAGTTCCTTGAGGTGTGACCTTAGATTTACTGTTTGTGCTCTTTAGATTTTTCAGTGTAGGCGTTTAGAGCTATGAACTTTCCTCTTAATGCTGCCTTTGCTGTATCCCAGAGGTTTTTGATACATTGTGTCACTATTGTCGTTCAGTTCAAACAACTTTTAAATTTCCATCTTGATTTCATTGTTGACCTGATGATTATTCAAGAGCAGGTTATTTAATTTCTATTTATTTGCATGGTTTTGAAGGTTCCTTCTGGAGTTGATTTCCAGTTTTATTCTGCTGTGGTCTGAGAGAGAAGCATCTCTATTTTATACTTAAGATTGTTGTATAGCTTATGTGACATTCCCTAGTGAGCCATGTCTCATAAATCCATCAAAGTTTAGGTTTGTTTACAGTAAGCAATTCTAAATCAAGAACACATTTCTCAAAGTAGCTCATAGATAGAAATGCTTTTTTTTTAAGCAAACGTTCTTAGTCTGTTGCCCTGAGGACCCAGTTGTTATGTTAACAAGGAGATTAGACCAGGCCACCAACCTTCCTTCCCCACTCCCTAGGGGAATCCCCTGATAATCAAAAGAAGTCACAGGCTAGCTGCTTTAACTCCTTCCTCCTCAACAATATTTTTAGAATTTTTTTTTTTAACAGAAGGAATGAAAGGCGGGAATAACACTCAAGCCATCGTGTTTGTTTTGAATTGGAGGAAAGCAAGACCAACATCATTTATAATAGTGAATGCTTCATTATAATAATACAGAAAATGATATAAGCCTAAACAATGAAGTAACAATAGCAAGGAGAGAGGGAATGAGATTTAATAAATATCACAGCATTTCAATGGACTCAATATAGTAATTGACTAGATGTAGGATTTAGGCAGTTGAAGAAATAAATAATGATTTCCAGTCAGAGCCTTAGGCAGGTATATGAATAATGTGGCTATTTGTGGCCACAGAGAAAACAGAGGAGCAATGTGTGGGAAGATGGAGGTTCTTTAATAGAAGATAAGAGAACTTCGATTTTATTTAAACTCTGATAGAAAACAACCAGTGAAAACATAGAAATGGATGATGTAGCAAAAATATAGAATAATCTGCAGAATGAGGTAACTTTACCCATTTAGATTTCAGAATTTAATGAGGAGGGATCAGCCTTAGATGTGAGGACAGATGTCTTTTCCACTCTGGTGGGAGGGAAAAAAGCAAGAATGTTCTCTTTGATGTATTCTCTTCTAGTGGCCTCCATTTTTTCTATTGTGTTCACAAAATATGGAACTTTCTTCTGAGTATTTAGCAACTTGGTAAACTAAATATTCACAAGATTGTTTATTAGGAATGAAATCAGAGCAAAATATAAGATGACCCTTGAGGATGTTCCTTTCAGACTATGGAGAAAGAAATGGAGCCAAAAAATTTCCCGATATAAGAAAAATCCTCCCCTCCAAGGTTCGAGAAATTTGTCTCTCTAAGATTAGTGATTTCTCTTTCTTGGATATTTACTTCTAAACTCTGCCTTTCCACCTTTTTTCTAATAACATCATTTTCCAAAAAGTATGTTAATTAGTTCATTTTCAGATTACTCAGATGCAAGCTGATTAAACTTGCCTTTTTTTCTAAAAATCTCTTTACTTTTCTCATAATCTATACTTTTATCATATTATTTCTTAGGCTGTTGACATCTTTGTGGCTTATTTTTTCTATTTCAGTTCTTACTAGTTTGTTCTCTTATTGTAAATTGAACTTGAAGTTTCAGAGCTCCTAATTAACCACAGTGATACATTTTTATTTAATCCCAGCAAAGCTGGTGCTAATTAGTTTCCCATGAGCTCAAAAGATGATCAGCCTGCAAAATTTGGTCTGATGCAGAAACTGTTGTCATAGCAATGCCCCATCTAAGGTAATACTCTCTCTTTGACTCCTGCAGCCTTCTTCTTAGTATGTTAACGTCCCTGATATGCACGATGGTGTTTGTTTTGTAACTGTGTATTAGGGTTCTCAGAGAAACAGAACCAACAGTAAAGAGATTTATCATATATATAGAATACATATAAAAGAAATTTATCTGTATAGAAAGAGATTTATTATAAGGTATTGGCTCACACGATTATGACAGCTAAAAAGTTTCACAATCTGCTGTCTGCAACCTGGAGCCCCACAAAAGCTGGGAGTGGTTTGAAGGCCTGAAACCCAGACAACCAATGGTGTCAATTCCATTTCAGATCTAAGGGCTGAGAACCAGGAAACCTGAGGACAGAAGATCCATGCTCCAGTTCAACCAGTCAGGCAGACAGCAAGTTCAGCCTTTCTCTACCTTTTTACTTTATTAAGGCCTTAAAATGGGTTGAATGATGTCTACCCACATTAGGGAGGGCTATCTGCTTTACTCAGTCCGCCAATTTAAGTGCTAATCTTTTCCAGAAACACTCTCACAGACACACCCAGAAAGAATGTTTAACCATTCATCCAGGCATCCCATGGCCCAAGCAAGTTAACACATAAAATTAACCATCACAAACTGGAAGAGCAAGAATTTTATGTAAACATAATAGCAAAAGATTAGACCAGGTTACCAGCCAAGCCTAATGTTAGAAAAAAGGGTGTAGGAAAGAGTCAAGGAGGATAAAGCAGTTGGTTTCCCATGGATTCTCTATCCTGCCCTGTAAACTGGACTAAAGCCTCTATCATTAGCAGATAGAGGACCAGAAATTAAGGGAAATGTTCTGGAAGAGATGCTGTGAGTGTTTCACTGAATTCAAAGCCACTGAAACCAGCAAGAAAGTTTGATTCAGATAGTCAGTTTTCCAACTGCAACATAAAGCCAGACTGGCAACTGCAGAGTTAGAGGTCAAGGAACCACTGAATTTGGGATTCTGGGCCCACACATCCAATAGGGAGGAGCAGAAATGAGCTTGCATCAGACAGATTCTCAGACTAGTGGCAGCCAAATGATAAAGGGCAAGTAGGGTGGGTGCAGACTGTAATTCCTAGAAAAGTTTGGAATCCATATAAAACTCCTGTGGTCTTTTACAGAAACAACTGGGGAAAGAAAAGAAATTTTCAGTGGTAAGATCAACGAAGGATCAAACTATCACAATATAGTCAGTTAATATCTGACCTTATATAGTAGCTTGATGAGATCCAGGGAATTTGGATTATAAAAATATACAGGGAGGGAATTCTTTATTTTGTTTTAAGTGATTAAAATAAATATTTTAAAATTATCAACTGATGGTGTTGTGTGGAAAACTCTGGGACATAAGTGAAATGTTTACTTACATTCTTTCTTATCTCTCCCCTTATTGTTTTTAGGCAACTTGGTTTTTTGAGGTTAGTTAATTTTGAAAGCTGACTCAACAAAGCAGCACATAAGGAATTTATCTGAAAGAGAATGTGCCTAGGAGGGGATACAACTATCACAGAGGCCTTGGATCAGCAATTAATGCATCATTAATCCTTGATGTTCCTTGAATTTCTTCATAAACACCCCAATAATAAAACAAATCTAGATTCCTTCACTGTTCTGATTCACCTTTCTACACTCTCCTGATGGCACGTGACCACTGTTCCTGGCCGTTGGCTTCCAGAAAGAGAACAGACAGGGAAGTGTTGGTGAATCTAGTTTGTTCTAATTAACAATGACTCCAGGGAAATATATATCATAAAATAAATTTTCATTCATATAATTCATAGAAGTCTTTGCAACTGTTAACTGGAATCTTCATTTTCTCTCTCTTTTGTGTGTGTGTGTATGTATATATATAATTTTTAGAGATGGGACCTGACTTGTTGCCCAGGCTAGAGTGCAGTGGCACAATCGTAGCTCACTGCAGCCTCGAACTCCTGGATTCAAGCAATTTTTCTGTCTCAGCCTCCTGAGTAGCAAGCAATCCTGCCTTGGCCTTCCAAAGTGCTGGGATTACAGGCATGAGCCACTGCACTCAGTTGTCAACATTTATTCTTAAAGCAATACGTGTGACCTGAGGCAGAAAGATGTACACCAGTTTCCTCATCTGGAAAAACTGATGTAATTCTAACCCATATTTCATCTGGTTGTGAGATTTAAAGGAATTATTACCTGCAAAATGCTTGGAACCATGCTTGGCATATAGAAAGAAATATATATATATGTGTGTGTGTGTGTGTGTTTAAACACATGCACATATATTTTTCATTTAACAAATATATATTATTTGATATATATATATATATTTGTTAAATGAACAGTAAGAAATACATTTTTCCTGAAAATTAAATGGTAAAATTTATATAAAAATCTTAGTCTGGTGGTTTAAACATTGGAAATGCTGAATGGTTGTTAGCTCCTTGGTCAGTCATAACACATACGTTGAGAGCAAGAATATGACAAGTATGATTTAGGCACTAGGGACTGGAATCTGAGTAAAAACGCCCAATCTTTGCCTTATGAGCCTGGTTACAATTGAACAGAGATGACAACATTAATCGTATACTCACACAAATCTAGGTAAACTTGATACTGTGGCAAATGCTGTGCAAAAATGACACGTGGTACTATAAAATGTGTACTTGGGGTTTTGATTTAGTGTGTTGGGGGAAGGTTGGGAGACTGTTCGGGGAAGGTTGGGAGACTGTCAGGAACTTTTCACAAGCTACTGCCAGTAGAACTGAGAGCTAAAAAGTGAAAAGGAATATATCAGTAAAGAGAGGAGGGAATCTGCTCCAGGGAGAGGTGAGGGCTGGTGGAGCAGCTCTGTGAGAGGGACAAGCATGGTGATGGAGGGAATGCAACATTGGCATGTGCTGAGACTGGTGACAAAAGCTGTGTCCCCATCATCCAGGGCTCCTTAAGCTACATGAAGACTTTTAACATTTTTTTTTTTTATCTTATAAGCAATTGGAATTCATCAACAGCCCTAAAACAGAATGGTAATATGTGATCTGTGGTTTGAAACATCACGCTATTGGAGGAATCCCCAAATTTTAGTGTACATCTAATGTTGACAGTGGGGTGTTAAAGTCTCCCATTATTATTGTGTGGGAGTCTAAGTCTCTTTGTAGGTCTCTAAGGACTTGCTTTATGAATCTGGGTGCTCCTGTATTGGGTGCATATGTATTTAGGATAGTTAGCTCTTCTTGTTGAATTGATCCCTTTACCATTATATAATGGCCTTCTTTGTCTCTTTTGATCTTTGTTGGTTTAAAGTCTGTTTTATCAGAGACTAGGATTGCAACCCCTGCCTTTTTTTGTTTTCCATTTGCTTGGTAGATCTTCCTTCATCCCTTTATTTTGAGCCTATGTGTGTCTCTGCAAGTGAGATGGGGCTCCGGAATACAGCACACTCATGGGTCTTGACTCTTTATCCATTTTACCAGTCTGTGTCTTTTAATTGGAGCATTTAGCCCATTTACATTTAAAGTTAATATTGTTATGTGTAAATTTGATCCTGTCATTATGATGTTAGCTGGTTATTTTGCTCATTAGTTGATGCAGTTTCTTCCTAGCATCAATGGTCTTTACAATATGGCATGTTTTTGCAGTGGTTGGTACCGGTTGTTCCTTTCCATATTTATTGCTTCTTTCAGGAGCTCTTGTAGGGCAGGCCTGGTGGTGACAAAATCTCTCAGCATTTGCTTGTCTATAAAGGATTTTATTTCTCCTTCACTTATGAAGCTTAGTTTGGCTGGACATGAAATTCTGGGTTGAAAATTCTTTTCTTTAAGAATGTTGAATATTGGCCCCCACTCTCTTCTGGCTTGTAGAGTTTCTGCCAAGAGATCAGCTGTTAGTCAGATCGGCTTCCTTTTGTGGGTAACCCGACCTTTCTCTCTGGCTGCCCTTAACATTTTTTCCTTCATTTCAACTTTGGTGAATCTGATAATTATGTGTCTTGGAGTTGCTCTTCTTGAGGAGTATCTTTGTGGCATTCTCTGTATTTCCTGAATTTGAATGTTGGCCTGCCTTGCTAGGTTGGGGAAGTTCTCCTGGATAATACCCTGCAGATTGTTTTCCAACTTGGTTCCATTCTCCCCATCACTTTCACGTATACCAATCAGATGTAGATTTGGTCTTTCCACATAGTCCCATATTTCTTGGAGGCTTTGTTCGTTTCTTTTTATTCTTTTTTCTCTAAACTTCTCTTCTCACTTCATTTCATTCATTTGATCTTCAATCACTGGTACCCTTTCTTCCAGTTGATCAAATCAGCTACTGAAGCTTGTGCATGCATCACATAATTCTTGTGCCATGGTTTTCCGCTCCATCAGGTCCTTTAAGGACTTCTCTACACTGGTTATTCTAGTTAGCCATTCATTTAATCTTTTTTCAAGGCTTTTAGCTTCTTTGCGATGGGTTCAAACTTTCTCCTTTAGCTCAGAGAAGTTTGATCATCTGAAGCCTTCTTCTCTCAACTTGTCAAAGTCATTCTTTGTCCAGCTTTGTTCTCTCGCTGATGAGGAGCTGCGTTCCTTTGAAGGGGGAGAGGCACTCTGATTTTTAGAATTTTCAGCTTTTCTGCTCTGTTTTTTCCCCATCTTTGTGGTTTTCTCTACCTTTGGTCTTTGATGATGGTGACATACAGATGGGGTTTTGGTGTGGATGTCCTTTCTGTTCTCCTTCTAACAGTCAAGACCCTCAGCTGCATGTGTGTTGGAGTTTGCTGGAGGTCCACTCTAGACCCTTTTTGCCTGGGTATCAGCAGTGGAAGCTCTCAGAAGGCAAGATATAACTAAGATCAGAGCAGAACTGAAGGAAATAGAGACACAAAAAACCCTTCAAAAAATCAATGAATCCAGGAGCTAGTTTTTTTGAAAAGATCAACAAAATTGATAGACCACTAGCAAGACTAATAAAGAAGAAAAGAGAGAAGAATCAAATAGACGCAATAAAAAATGTTAAAGGGGATACCACCACTGATCCCACAGAAATACAAACTACAATCAGAGAATGCTATAAACACCTCTATGCAAATAAACTAGAAAATCTAGAAGAAATGGATAAATTCCTGGACACATACACCCTCCCAAGAGTAAACCAGGAAGAAGTGGAATACCTGAATAGACCAATAGCAGGCTCTGAAATTGAGGCAATAATTAATAGCTTACCAACTAAAAAAAGTCCAGGACCAGAAGGCTTCACAGCCGAATTCTATCAGAGGTACAAGGAGGAGCTGGTACCATTCCTTCTGCAACTATTCCAATCAATAGAAAAAGAGGGAATCCTCCCTAACTCATTTTATTTTGGTGTTATCCTGATACCAAAGCCTGGCAGAGACACAACAGAAAAAGAACATCGATGGAAAAATCCTCAATAAAATACTGGCAAACCGAATCCAGCAGCACATCAAAAAGCTTATCTAACATGACCAAGTCGGCTTCATCCCTGGGATGCAAGGCTGGTTCAACATACACAAATCAATAAACATAATCCAGCATATAAACAGAACCAAAGACAAAAACCACATGATTATCTCAATAGATGCAGAAAAGGCCTTTGACAAAATTCAACAGCCCTTCATGCAAAAAACTCTCAATAAATTAGGTATTCAGTGGACGTATCTCAAAATAATAAGAGCTATTTATGACAAACCCACAGCCAACATCACACTGAATGGGCAAAAACTGGAAGCATTCCCTTTGAAAACTGGCACAAGACAGAGATGCCCTCTCTCACCACTCCTATTCAACATAGTGTTAGAAGTTCTGGTCAGGGCAATCAGGCAGGAGAAAGAAATAAAGGGTATTCAATTAGGAAAAGAGGAAGTCAAATTGTCACTGTTTGCAGATGACATGATTGTATATTTAGAAAACCCCATCATCTCAACCTAAAATCTCCTTAAGCTGATAGCAACTTCAGCAAAGTCTCAGGATACAAAATCAATGTGCAAAAATCACAAGCATTCCTATACACCAATAACTGACAAACAGAGAGCGAAATCATGAGTGAACTCCCATTCACAATTGCTTCAAACAGAATAAAATACCTAGGAATCCAACTTACGAGGGATGTGAAGGACCTCTTCAAGGACAACTACAAACCACTGCTTGACGAAATAAAAGAGGACACAAACAAATGGAAGAACATTCGATGCTCATGGACAGGAAGAATCAATATCGTGAAAATGGCCATACTGTCCAAGGTAATTTATAGATTCAATGCCATCCCTGTCAAGCTACCAATGACTTTCTTCACAGAGTTGGAAAAAACTACTTTAAAGTTCATATGGAACCAAAAAAGAGCCTGCATCACCAAGTCAATCCTAAGCCAAAAGAACAAAGCTGGAGGCATCACACTACCTGACTTCAAACTATAATACAAGGCTACAGTAAACAAAACAGCATGGTACTGGTACCAAAACAGAGATATAGACCAATGGAATAGAACAGAGCCCTCCGAAATAATGCTGCATATCTACAACTATCTAATCTTTGACAAACCTGACAAAAACAAGCAATGGGGAAAGGATTCCCTATTTAATAAATGGTGCTGGGAAAACTGGCTAGCCATATGAAGAAACCTGAAACGGGATCCCTTCCTTACACTTTATACAAAAATTAATTCAAGATGGATTAAAGACTTAAATGTTAGACCTAAAACCATAAAAACCCTAGAAGAAAACCTAGACAATACCATTCAGGACATAGGCATGGGCAAGGACTTCATGTCTAAAACACCAAAAGCAATGGCAACAAAAGCCAAAATAGACAAATGGGATCTAATTAAACTAAAGAGCTTCTGCACAGCCAAAGAAACTACCATCAGAGTGAACAGGCAACCTAAAGAATGGGAAAATTTTTTGCAATCTACTCATCTGACAAAGGGCTAATATCCAGAATCTACAAAGAACTCAATCAAATTTACAAGAAAAAAACAAACAACCCCATCAGAAAGTGGGCGAAGGATGTGAACAGACACTTCTCAAAAGAAGACATTTATGCAGCCAAAAAACAGATGAAAAAATGCTCATCATCACTGGCCATCAGAGAAATGCAAATCAAAACAACAATGAGATACCATCTCACACCAGTTAGAATGGCAATCATGAAAAAATCAGGAAACAACAAGTGCTGGCGAGGATGTGGAGAAATAGGAACACTTTTACACTGTTGGTGGGACTGTAAACTAGTTCAACCGTTGTGGAAGACAGTGTGGCGATTCCTCAAGGATCTAGAACTGGAAATACCATTTGACCTGGCAATCCTGTTACTGGGTTTATACCGAAAGGATTATAAATCATGCTGCTATAAAGACACATGCACATGTATGTTTATTGTGGCACTATTCACAATAGCAAAGACTTGGAACCAACCCAAATGTTGATCAATGATAGACTGGATTAAGAGAATGTGGCACATATACACCATGGAATACTATGCAGCCATAAAAAAGGATGAGTTCATGTCCTTTGTAGGGACATGGATGAAGTTGGAAACCATCATTCTCAGCGAACTATCGCAAGGGCGAAAAACCAAACACTGCATGTTCTCACTCATAGGTGGGAATTGAACAATGAGAACACTTGGATACAGGAAGGGGAACATCACACACCAGGGCCTGTAGTAGTGTCAGGGGAGAGGGGAGGGATAGCATTAGGAGATATACCTAATGTAAATGACAAGTTAATGGGTGCAGCACACCAACATGGCACATGTGTACATAGGTAACAAACCTGCATGTTGTGCACATGTACCCTAGAACTTAAAGTATAATAATAAAAAATAAAATTTAGTGTACGTCAGAACTACTTGGAGGGCTCGCCAAAGCATGTTGCTAGGCCTCTTTCCAAAGTTTCTGATTTCATATGTCTGGGTTCTGGTAGAAGAATTTGCCTTTCTAACAGGATCCCAGATGTTGCTGATGCTGCTGATCTAGTGCCATCCTTTGAGGACTACTGATCTACTCTACTGTGAACAAATTGAAAGGATCAAAAGGGAGCACTAGGTGGACCACTTAGAAAGAAATGTCCGTCTTCCATACAAGAATTGATAGACATTTGACCTAGGGAAATGGAGAGAAGTCTACTAATATAAGGAATATTTAGGAGGTAAAATTGGCAGGAGTCGATGCTAGGTTAGGTGTGGATATGAAGGAAAAGACGATGTCAAGATGTCACTGGGTTAGTTGCCCTACCTTATCATCTAGAATGAAGACATTCTCATTTATAAAGTCCAAAAGGCTAGTAATCTATCAGCCCAAAATGAGAGTTTTGGATTTTTTTTTTTTTTAATCTGTTGGCTGCAAGGGACTAAACCTGACAATAATCACAGAAGTGCTGGTGCTGACAGCTAAGTTATAAAAGACTGCTGGCCTCAAAGGGTGCTGGAAAGCTTGTTCTGAAAAAATGCCAGCAAGGCACCTCCTGGCCCTGTCTGTGGTATTTCCCAAAGGCACGTGGAGCATGAGCCAGGTTACATTTGGGCTCAGTGTCAGATCTCATGGCTCTAGCCACAGCTGAAGCCAGTAAATAGAGCTTCTAAAGTTAATAAAGACAGTGATGAAGGACTAGTGATTGAGTAGAGAGGAGAGAGAGCAGATGAAAGATCAAACTAAAAGAGGCTAATCCCTGAATTTGTAAAGAAAATTTCGAAGAGAGAGACAGTAGAAGGTGCCCAAAATAAAGAAATTTGCAGTACAGGAAAAGCGGTAGTTGGCAGCTCTCTTGCCAGTAGAAACAAACGTCTGAGGCAAAAATGAAGGAAGAAGAAAGAATTTTAAAAAGACATGCATTGGACTGTCTAAAGACAAACCCACTGCAGAAATGAATCAGGGATTTATTATTACCAGAGAGAGTTCTGAGGAATATTTAGGAAAAGTGTTGGTGATCAAAATTGGTGTCATTTGGTGGCAACTTCCTCAGGGCTTGAGGAAATAAAACAAAGGCTTACCCTTGGAAATACCAGGGATTATATATAAGGATCTTTGAGAAAGGTTCACAAACACAAATTTTATAGCATTCCGGAGATCAACCAGTGTCTTCGTGCCAAAAAGTAAAGGGCATTTTTCCCAAAGGCAAGAGGCATTTGGCTCAGAATTTAATGGAGAAAATTGTGGGAACTTAGAGGAGGAATGCCCATTAGAGAGGTTCAATAGAATTTGAAGTTTCAAGGGAATTTTTGAAAGCGCAGTGATGAATATATAAAGTTTTATAGGACTTTGAGACAGAATATAATTTGGTGTATAATAGCTAAAGCGTAAAGCTTTTGTTTTTAATCTTGCACGTGTTCTTAGCATAAAAATTGTAGCCAGGAGTAAAAGCAAAATAAAACAATAACCAAAAAAAACTAAAAAGATAAGCCACCCAATTTAAATTATAAGCATTCATGTAGTATTCAGATTTTTGCAGAATCCTGTACTAATACTATGATAGTGAAGATCACAATGATTATATGGGGAGCAAATTATTCTTTGAACCTGCATAAACAGATTACTAATAGTTGAGAATCAGATAACACCAATGGCTTATATAAAATAAAGAGATTTCTTTGTATTTTTAAGAATTTACATATAGTGTTGTTGTGGGGTGTTTTGGCTTATTTGAAAATACAGATAATTATGGATATATTTTGAAGGATTCAAGATACATACTTTGGATCCTGGAATATTAGGGGAAGAAGACGGGGAAGCGATTGCCAGTGTGGGAATAGAGAGGTGGTGATCTCTTTCCTCCCCATCATAAGGGTCATGGCCAGCAACCCTCTAACAAAGACAGATTAATAGAAGAATAGTCTAATATAATAGATGGATTAATTTAAAAATTAATAACAGCATAAGAAACTTATTTGATCATAGCTTTATGCTACATGGGAGCCTTCAGAATTAAGACTCGAAGACTTAAGGTGAACTATTCATTTTTATGCTTGGGATTAATGAAGAATGGACAGTCATATGGAAATGTGATTGGGCAAAAATGATCTGACCTAATAATAATAAACAAAGGAGGGACGGGCGCAGTGGCTCACGCCTGTAACCCTGGCACTTTGGGAGGTTGAGGCGGGCAGATCATGAGGTCAGGAGATCGCGATCATCCCAGCCAACATGGTGAAACCCCATCTCTACTAAAAATACAAAAATTAGCTGGTCGTGGTGGTGTGTACCTGTAATCCCAGCTACTTGGGAGGCTGAGGCAGGAGAATCGTTTGAACCCGGAAGGCAGAGGTTACAGTGAGCTGACATCACACCACTGCACTCCGGCCTGGTGACAGAGTGAGACTCCATCTCAAAAAAATAAAATAAAATAAAATAACAAAGGGGAGAAATCCAGCAAGACCAGTCTGTTAAGATTCTTCTTGGCTTCTCTTTAGCATTCCTTCCTTCTGGTAAGAGGCAAGATCTTCTCTGGAATGCAGGTCTTATGACCTACAATCAAATAAGGTAGGTCAGAAAATTTCATGGCCAGTTCTTACACGGAAAGATGGGTGAAAGTTGTAGTAATATTTTTAGGTTTTATTAGTGGCCTTGGAGGAAAAGGGTTCTTGTTTCTATGACTGCCTTGGGAAAGAGGGATTCTAGTTTCTACTGCTTGCTTTAGGAGATAATGAGTGGTGAAAGACAGGAGAGCAGTAGAAAGTCAGACAGAAACTTTGTTTCTGAGGCTGCTTCTGAGGCCTTTGCTAACTTGTAGCTCTCTTGCCAGTAGAAACAAATGTCTGAGGCAAAAATGAAAGAAGAAAAAAGAATTTTAAAAAGACATGCGTTGGACTGTCTAAAGAGAAACCCACTGCAGAAATGAATCAGGGACTTATTATTACCAGAGAGAGTTCTGAGGAATATTTAGGAAAAGTGCTGGTGATCAAAATTGGTGTCATTTGGTGGCAACTTCCTCAGGGCTTGAGGAAATAAAACAAAGGCTTACCCTTGGAAATACCAGGGATTATATCTAAGGATCTTTGAGAAAGGTTCACAAACACAAATTTTATAGCATTCCAGAGATCAACCAGTGTCTTCATGCCAAAAGTAAATGGCATTTCTCCCAAATTCACCCTTCAATTTGTCAGTGATTCATTTCTTGTCTTTGGAGTTGGTATGAATTTATCTTGAAGATCCACAGGTTGATCTAAAGTTCTGTTCAAATGGTCTATGTATTTCACATATTTTTACCAGCTATCAAAAAATCTCATTAGGAATGGTTTAATAGTACACATACACAAAAAAATAGTAAATGTACTATACAGTGACTGTCAAATGTCCTGATCCAACAAGTCCTAATGGCATAAGGGAAAATCTCTTCCAACCCCAACATCCTGCTAATGATGTTGGGATAGGGGAGGTGGGTTGAAGAGGTAGGTAGTGGCTGCAATCTGGGAATAATGCCCCAAGTCACAAATTACAAGCTCAGCTATCCTGTTCCATCTCCACATTTTAAGCAAGTATTGAACTTTGTTCTATAGCATGCTCCTGTTTCTTTCCATTTAAAATAAGGATTCAATACCTACCTCCACCAAAAATCAAAACTTACAGTAGGACTGCCTCTCCATGAGGGAGCCTCCTGTTCTCCTTAGTTACACATTTTTCTCCCTAATACCTTGATATGTATCTGTGGTTGGAGAATTACAACTCTAATCTTTTTCTATTTCAAGTTATCTTCCATTCTTTAACATTCAGTAGAGTGTTCTTTTTTTTTCCTTTTTTTTTATTATTATTGTACTTTAAGTTTTAGGGTACATGTGCACAATGTGCAGGTTAGTTACATATGTATACATGTGCCATGCTGCTGCGCTGCACCCACTAACTCGTCATCTAGCATTAGGTATATCTCCCAATGCTATCCCTCCCACCTCCCCCCACCCCACAACAGTCCCCAGAGTGTGATGTTCCCCTTCCTTTCTCCATGTGTTCTCATTGTTCAATTCCCATCTATGAGTGAGAATATGCAGTGTTTGGTTTTTTGTTCTTGCAATAGTTTACTGAGAATGATGATTTCCAATTTCATTCATGTCCCTACAAAGGACATGAACTCATCCTTTTTTATGGCTGCATAGTATTCCATGGTGTATATGTGCCACATTTTCTTAATCCAGTCTATCATTGTTGGACATTTGGGTTGGTTCCAAGTCTTTGCTATTGCGAATAATGCCGCAATAAACATACGTGTGCATGTGTCTTTATAGCAGCATGATTTACAGTCCTTTGGGTATATACCCAGTAATGCGATGGCTGGGTCAAATGGTATTTCTAGTTCCAGATCCCTGAGGAATCGCCACACTGACTTCCACAATGGTTGAACTAGTTTACAGTCCCACCAGCAGTGTAAAAGTGTTCCTATTTCTCCACATCCTCTCCAGCACCTGTTGTTTCCTGACTTTTTAATGATTGCCATTCTAACTGGTGTGAGATGGTATCTCATTGTGGTTTTGATTTGCATTTCTCTGATGGTCAGTGATGGTGAGCATTTTTTCATGTGTTTTTTGGCTGCATAAATGTCTTCTTTTGAGAAGTGTCTGTTCGTGTCCAGTAGAGTGTTCTTAAAGAACGACTGGAGGTAATCTCTTAACAGAAAATTGAATCATGCATACCAAGTCTTGTTAAGCAGCACTTTTAACCCAGATTCTGTTATTTTTTATGGTAAAGTCTTTAAGTTACATTCTCTCATAGTACTTGAAACTACTAAAAATAATTGAAAAGGTTTAATTATCCTATTTACTGTTACAATTTGCTTTGTGCTATATGTTTATTGCTATCTCTGGTGAGCTATAGTAACACTGCTGCAGGTGTTTTTAAAATAGGTAGTATTGATTATCAGTATAAGACATGTTAAGTATCCAACTGAATTTTAGTCATGAGGAATAGGTGAAAAGGATTCTGTCAAGGAGATGTCAATTTGGCCCCAAGAGGCAAACTTTTTTTGACAGTTCCGTACAAAGTAGAGGTTACTGAGTAACTGCCCCTATTATTTAGTAACTGACCCTGACAGCACTGAAAAATTGAGGGGAGGGGGTGAGCAGAGAGTTAAGAAGGATAACCTCAAGTTATATAAAATATCCAGGAAGCATGAAAACTGGAAACCACACAGTAGAAGAAACGTCGTTTCTGTCTAGTGATCAATTCCTCGTTTGGCTAATGAGAGAGAGAGAGAGACTGAGACATGGAACTAAAATGTTCTGGATAGATGCTAACTTTGAGACAAAACAGAGAGGCAAAACTGGGAGATTTTGCTCTTCTAGTGGTAGGAATAGCCATATGCCAATTTTAATGGGAGTAATTCCATAGAGAGCTCCATGCTAAATGCACAGAGGAAGAAACAAAGTACGTATTCATTCATTCACATTTGGCTAATTTTTGTATATCTGGTTACCTACCAAGCACAGTACTTGTACATAGTTGAGATGCAGCAATTCACCCATTTATTCATATGAGACATACAGCATTTATTAAGCATCTACTACATTCTGGTGATAAGGATACAGCAGTGAAGAAAACAAAGCCCCTCACAAAGCTTACATTCTGGTATCACTAAAATGATTGCATATTCTGGCTGCAACCTGGGGAATCAGTGATCTAAAATGTTAATTATCAAGTGCCCAGATTCTAAAGCCAGGTGGCCTGGGCTTGAAAAGTATTTTGTGCCATTAACTCTCTGTGTGGTTTTGGACAAGTCACTTAATCATTTTGGGCCTCAGTTTCTTTATCAATAAAATGGGGATATAATGAGTTAATAGGTGTGTGTGTGTATAAGTTAATATAAGTGCTCAGATCAGTGTTTGACACTAATAAGTGCCATATATATGTGTCAGATACCCTTGTTAAAAGAAATTAATCTAAATTCAACTCATCGTTAAATAGTTCTTAATTACAGAATAAAAGGTAGAGACCAGGGAAATCAAGACAACAAAACTTGAGATACCAATAGCAAATGGATTATTCACGTTTGTATTATTTGTTCAAAGTAGATTACAGAAGGAAAGAGAGAGCACAATCCAGTGGTTAAGCTGGTTACTTGTATCTGTGGCCTGCAATTTCCTCATCTGTGAAGGGATGAGAAAAGGTGTCCTTTTTAGGGGTTCTAGAAGGATTAAAGGAAATGATGTGTGTAAAATGCTTGGCACAAGGCCTGGCTAAGGGTGAGCATTTATTAAATGGTGGCTATTTCATTTATAACCTGATTATATTGAACTGACATCATTTATTTAATGGTTTTTGCCATTGCATTTCAGTTCAAAAAGGATTTAAGGAAACTTTTAATCAGAGTATTTCTAAAAACATTAAACATTGGTCTCACAGGAAGAAAACACTGCAACAGTCAGTCAAATCATTCATATTAAAAGTTAATGTTTTTCCAATGAAAAGAGACCCTTTCAGTAAGGTTTTTCAGTCTGTAAGTTCTGGAGTCTAGATGGAATTGAGAGATTGTCCAATTAAATTTATACTTAGGATCAAATGCAACTAAACTTCCATAAACGTACTCTTGAATCACATCACGATCTATTTCTAATATTTATTATTGCTGAATTTTTGTATTTTTGCATCTGTGTTCATAAGCACAAATGACTTTTTTTTTTTAAACAAAGTCATATCTTGCTTGGGTAACAAGATTATAATTGACCTCATGAGCTAAGCTTCTTTCTTAATTTTTGTATTTTCCAAAATAATTTTTAAAAAAGGTGGATGGTATTCCTAATTTATTGAATTGTTGATATCATAGGAAAACCATTTAGACCTAGTATTTGCCTTTAGTTGTTGTTGTTTATGAATTCCATTTCTTTAACTGTTAACTGCTGAATCAGAATTTTTCTTTCACAAATATTGGTATTTCTGTATTTGTACAAAAATACAACTATTTAGTCATATTTCAAATTTTTCAACATAAAATTACTCAAAATAGTTACTTCAATTTTTATCTATGCTAAATCAACAATTATTTGCTATTTTTGGTATTACATTTGAATTTCTTTTTTCTTCATTATTCTTGCCTAAAGTTTGAGTATTTTCAAATATTGTGACATTATTACTCATTTCAAATTTCTGGCCCTTACCTTAACATTTTTCCTTCTTATTTTTTTAGCATTTTACCATTTTTCTTTGTATAGCTTCTTGAGTTGACCGATTTGTTAATTTTCTGAAATGTGTGCAAAGCTATAATTTCCTTCTGTTTAAATATACAACAAAATTTGGCTTGTAGAACCTTCAGTGTCATTTAATGTCATTTAATTCTGAATAACTGAAATTTCCTTCATAATTCTTTCCTGATTTTCTCTGTATTCCAAGGATTGATTAATAATTTAGCACCTAGACATATTTGATATGTATCTTTTGTTTTCATTTTCTTATTGACTATAGAACTGAAACCAACTTTGACAGGAAGCTGCAATCTCTGATTCCAATACCTTAGTTCTGGGAGTGATCTAGAATGCAGTGTCCAAAATCTTTGGACTCACAGTCAAGCTTTGCTACTCAGAGAGTCTCATATGCTTTAAGAAAAACTACATAGCAAAAGAAGGTGCTTTTTTTAATGTTCACATATATTTAGGTAATTAAATGAAGGATAATTTCTCCCGTTTTTTGGAAGGAAACATCTAATGTTTCTATGCTAGTTTCTGTCAAAATTTCAAAATACTTTAATGAGTCTGAAATTTATAGGCCATATTATTTTCGTAAGAGAAGCAACATGAATTTCAAATGACCCGTGAGAATTTTATCAATAAACAGTTTTTGCAAATATATTTTTGTGTTCATAGCCATAAAGAGGCATGAATGCCGAAGAGAAAAAAACTTGAAAACACTTTTTTCTTTAAAAAAAAAGCCTTCACTCATCTTTTTAGCCACAATCTGCTAAAATTCATGACATCAAAGTTGTTCTTCATGAAATATAGCCCTTTTTTGAGAATTTGTTTATTTTTATAATACCGATATCATCTTAATACAAAGAAAAACTTTTTTAAAGCCCTTAGGCTATGTAAGTGAGAACGTTTTTCCAATGCAAATAGAACATTTGATTATTACATCTTGGTAGATATTGGATGTACTAACAAATTATTAAAAGTAAACAAAGAAAACTGTAAGAAAAATATATAAATAAAAACAAAACACTGTGAGTTTTGAATTTATAAAATTTGCCTGAGTGTACTTGTTTTTTAAAAATGTATCAAATCAAGAGTTGCCATTTTTTTACCAGATGATTATACTAATGCATTTGCAAACTGTGAAGGTAAATTTATAACGAGAAAAACAAAAACATAACGTTTTTAAAAACAGTTTAGTTTTCTAACGAATTCCATCTGAACCACAAAGTTATGGTACAGTCTCAATATGCGAGTAAATAAGTGATTATATCAACTGGGAGATGTTCACAAATCTGATGTGGTTACAAAATACTAAAAATTTTAGTCATGGCTTTAGCGATGACAGTCTAGGTTGTGCCACTTTTCTACAAGCAAATAAAAGTAGAACAGTTAAGGATAGCATTGAAAAAAACGTTACTTGGTTTGAAGATATGCTGGTACTTTTAGAAGAGTTTTTGGGAAACTTCCTTTTGAAAGCTGTTTCTTGGCTTTGAGGAAAGTTCTGTTTCTCTCAATGGTTTGATAACACTGAAAAGGAAAATGCAGTTGATTACTACTTGTTTATCTCATATTTATGATTTTAAATATATCTCCAATATATTTATGATTTTCTCTTCATTCCCACCGCTACCTCCCCTTCTGTCTTTCTCTATTTCGTAGGAAAAATTATGACATCAACATCCAAAGGAATTCTTCGCCCATTTTTAATTGTCTGCATTATCCTGGGCTGTTTCATGGCATGTCTTCTCATTTACATCAAACCTACCAACAGCTGGATCTTCAGTCCAATGGAATCAGCCAGCTCTGTGCTGAAAATGAAAAACTTCTTTTCCACCAAAACTGATTATTTTAATGAAACTACTATTCTGGTGTGGGTGTGGCCATTTGGGCAGACCTTTGACCTTACATCCTGCCAAGCAATGTTCAACATCCAAGGATGCCATCTCACAACGGACCGTTCACTGTACAACAAATCCCATGCAGTTCTGATCCATCACCGAGACATCAGTTGGGATCTGACAAATTTACCTCAGCAAGCTAGGCCACCCTTCCAGAAATGGATTTGGATGAATTTGGAATCACCAACTCACACTCCCCAAAAGAGTGGCATTGAGCACTTGTTTAACCTGACTCTGACTTACCGCCGTGATTCAGATATCCAAGTGCCTTATGGCTTCTTGACGGTAAGCACAAATCCCTTCGTGTTTGAAGTGCCAAGCAAAGAGAAATTGGTGTGCTGGGTTGTGAGTAACTGGAACCCTGAGCATGCCAGAGTCAAGTATTACAATGAGCTAAGCAAAAGCATTGAAATCCATACCTACGGGCAAGCATTTGGAGAATATGTCAATGATAAAAATTTGATTCCTACCATATCTACTTGTAAATTTTATCTTTCCTTTGAAAATTCAATCCACAAGGATTACATCACGGAAAAGCTATACAATGCTTTTCTGGCTGGCTCTGTACCTGTTGTTCTGGGACCATCTAGGGAAAACTATGAGAATTATATTCCAGCAGATTCATTCATTCATGTGGAAGATTATAACTCTCCCAGTGAGCTAGCAAAGTATCTGAAGGAAGTCGACAAAAACAATAAGTTATACCTTAGTTACTTTAACTGGAGGAAGGATTTCACTGTAAATCTTCCACGATTTTGGGAATCACATGCATGTTTGGCTTGCGATCATGTGAAAAGGCATCAAGAATATAAGTCTGTTGGTAATTTAGAGAAATGGTTTTGGAATTAAAATTTTTCATCACTTGCACACTTGATAAATATTTTGATGAGATATCATCCAAGTATTGAGGATAAGAAGAGATGCAACATACTACTTTTGTGTCACAATTTATTTTTATCACCCTCTCTAGGGTAACGTGTATATTTTGGTGGAGATTTTTAAAAGCTCAGCATGAGCAATCATTCCATTCGGTTTTAAATTATCCTGTATATACCTAATTATGTGCACTGGAGAGTAATTTATTCTTCATTATCATTTGTAAACATTGTTTTTTCACATTTTTGTAGTTGTCCATAATGTAAGCTTGTGGTTTGATTATTGTTTCCACACTGATCAGCTGTTTAATCTATTTGGGAAATGAAGATGCACATCTTAAAGTATGAAAAATTTTCACTAAGTATTACAATGTCTAGTTCCAACTTTGCATACTATAACAGAGGAAGAACATGTTGCGATTGAATTCTAACCTCTTTGACTCCGAAGATGAATGAAGTGTATAACTGTCTCTATTTGATCTATTTTTTTTACCTGTTTATCACATTTGTGAAGGTGAAATTATTCATGGAGTGAATAAGAAAGATATGAAGCAGAACTGTTCTATTCGGGAAGCTATTAGACTTCTCATTTATTTTCATTAAGCTGATTTGCAGCTACTTATTCTCATGGTCTTAAATTAAATTATTCAAGTATTTTTAAATATCCAATTTGTTGTGATTTTCAGCACCTGGGAAGTAATCCCAATAATACTTTAGAAAATCTAAGACAGTTCTTTCTGCTACTGATGACACTCATTGTCATAATAAAACAAATAATTTCCTCAAATAACAAAGAAAAATGATACCTATAAATATATTTATAAATGGTGTCATTTATGAACAATGTTTAATTATGTATCAATTTAAGATTTTTTTCTGAAGCCCTAATATTTAAAATGGTCTTATTTTACCATATGGATATAAGATTTGGCTCATAATGATGAGCCCTATCATTTGATTTGAGTTCTATCATTTAAGAGAGCCTAAATAAAATTATCATCAAGGTATTAAATATAAGACGTTAAATATAATAAAGTGGGGATATATAGAAAACACACAGTGTTAGCACACAGTAAGATCTCAATGCACATTTGTTGGATGAATAAATAAATGCAATTGAATTCCCAGAAAAATGATTGTTTCAAGGAAGTGACAGTTCTACTTTAGAAGTACTAATTGGAGATGACTTTTATATCCCATTTTGGTAATTATTCATACATAGCACATATGACCATGATGTTCAGGGCTTTATAGAACCAAATAAACCTACCATTACATGAAAATTTTGAAGAGTATATTCCTGAACTTGCAGCTGCCTATAGCATTCTCCTCCATAAGGCTAGAGGAGAGCTGGATATAAGCAGAGATCGTAGGTGAAAAAAGATGGGCCATTAAGGATTCTTCAAGGAAAACATTCCTCAAAATGATCTTTAGTGCCTTTATTCCTTTCAGGCCAATAATCCACCCAAAAATTAGAATGTTCTGAGACATCCATTTGGGTCTATTTGTGACTTATTCGTATTACAAATTGACATCAGCAAAATTCAAAAAGAATTCAGTAAAAAGGGCATAGATCCAGCTATCCAGACTATCTTGTGAGAGAATAAGCTCACCCCAGCACCAGAAAGATTTGAGCAGAGGAATATTCCTGTAATGAATAGAGGATTGTTTGATTCTCAGGTATATTTCTTAAGCCAAGATTGAATGCAGTGTCAGGCACTGCCTTAACACCCACAGAGATAAGATGAACAAGGTACTATCACTGCCTAAAATGAGCTTACAATTAAGTGGATAGACATATAAAAGCTTCCTTTCAATTCAGCCTGAGACTGTTTATATGCATGTGCTACTCCGAATGACGTTTGTATGGGTCAATGCTGATTTAATGGGGAAAAAAAGTAGAAAATTTCCCCAATTGCTTAGCTGTTTGACATGTTTCTGAGCTGCAAACTTTGTCAACTCTTTTGACCCAACATATTATTCTCTCCGTATTATCTCTTCTAACCACAATGCATTAAGAAATAATATTTTTATGTGGATGTCCTCCTCAATAAGTAAAGATCTCCATCCATATTTAATTAATTGGTAAGACAGTCAAATTCATACATTTACATTTACTTTGTCAAATTTTTTGGTCTATAAAAAGCATAGAGATCTAAAGAGGATACACTGCTAACAAGTTTAGAAAGCACCTGCTTTTTTTTATTATTATTATTTTTGTGATAGAGTCTTGCTCTGTCGCCCAGGCCGGAGTGCAGTGGTGCAGTCTCGGCTCACTGCAACCTCGGCCTCCCAGGTTCAAGTGATTCTCCTGTATCAGCCTCCCGAGTAGCTAGGATTACAGGCGTGTACCACTATGCCTGGCTAGTTTTTGTATTTTTAGTAGAGATGGGTTTCACTGTGTTGGCCAGGCTGGTCTTGAACTCCTGACCTCAAATGATCCACTTGCCTCAGCCTCCCAAAGTGCTGGGATTACAGGTATGAGCCACTGTGTCTGGCCCACCTGTTTTTTTTGAAGGCAGAAAAACATTCAATATTAAAAGCATTCAATATTATTTCAACCTGCCTTGGCTCTAGTGAATGTTCATGATTTGAAAGAACTGAAAGACCTAAAGGCAGTGTCTCTATTGTTGACTACAAATGTAGGCTCTTTGTTGGACTATGACTATAATCACACACTGATAATATGACGCAAGTAGAGGCAGTACTACTAAGTATCTAGCAGGTGCTTTGAAACCCCATTACTAAGTCCCAGAAGACTGTTTCCTAAATTTGAAGTGGAAGAATTAAATGACTCAATGGAACCCTTTAGCTGTGGGTCCATTGATGTGTGAGTTTTAGAGCTGGAAGGAATTATAATTTTGTTGTTTATAATTGCTATAATATAGAAATTATAATTGCTTTTCTTTCTACTTATGAGTTAACTAGATCCAGAGATATTTATTCAAGACACACATTCACACACACATACACACACACACACACACACCCCACAGCTAGTGACAATAGTTAAGATTTGGATTTAAGGATCCTATCTTTCTTTATCCCACTTTCTTTTCAATCGCATTCATAACTTATTATAGAATTATGTCTCAATTTTTACAAATGTGAATGTCTTATTGGTATTTTTAGGGCCTATAGAATGGTACACCTCATGTAGAAGAACTTCGACTTTTGAAGGTATACAATAAATAAAACATCAAACTTGTTAGCATTCGTTCTGGTTTAAATATTTTAGGAGTTGAGTTCAGCAGAAGGAAATGGGCTATCACTACATTTAAGTGAAATACAACCCTCAAGAAAGTGTATGGTTCACAGCCACTCCTTTAATAAATCCTGTGGGTTGCAATTCTTTGTAAGAAACTCATGAAAAAGATATATTGATTCAACAAAATTGGTTTGCTGTTGATTATACAAACCAATAATTATGCCTAGAATTAAATTGTGGACACAAAAAAGGGAACAGACCATTTAAAATGTTTTATTTCAAAATATCGAAAAGCTATTACCTTCAATACTCTAAATATTTAAATATTAATTATTGTAGACATCAGTAAGAATAAATAAATGTTAATCATTATAGACCTTACTAATAAGAATATATACTGAATTGTCCACATCCAGAGTATTACACCCTGAACAAGAAAGACATGAGAGCCTGACAGTCATATATATTATGACAGCTGTATATCTGACAATATGAAGTAGAAACTGAAAAAAAAAATCATCTTAGTGGGAAACAAATACATGCTTAAAATTGTTATATTTACTGTAAAACTCCTGATAATCTTAGATTGTGCAGAAATGTTTCTTATTTTGAGGGGCTTAGAAAGCTCAGCGCATTTGATGTATAAAGCAACAGAATATTTAGGAATTATTTGCGGAGGCTTTAAATTCTTACCTCCAATTGGAGGTTAAATATTAAAAGAATAGGAAACTATGCCTCTGATATTTTTTTTGTCAGCCTATTTTTAAACTAGATTCCATGAGTCTTAAGGTAATATCCTAGAATTTTTTTTTTGCGTGAATTAAAGTTACCACAAATTTCAGGTCCTTACCTTATGACTGTGTTTGATCATATCTTTGAGTTCCCTTGAACTCTGATCTCATTTTGAGAAACATTTTGAGAAACTTCTTAACAATTACAATCGAGCTGTTAAATATAACAAACATCAGAATCTAAAGGATAAGCACAGTGCCTAATGTACAGGAGGGTCATATCAAATACTTGTTGAATAAATACATGAATGTGATAAGTGGTCCTGTAAAATATTTTTTAAGAGTAGTGACAATGTTTATTGGTACCAATTGGAGATGATATTTTATATTTATTTTGTTAGTTTGTCACCTGGATGCAAAAGGAAGGCATTTTAATTCCTTTCTATCTTACAACATTGTAAAGCATCAAAAGAAGTAACATCTCAAGAAAGATTAGAAAGGATTTGGATCACGTTAACATTCTATGCAAATATTAGTAACATATCAACTGTTTCTAAAAGGAAAGAAAATTAGTATTTAAGGAGAGTATAAAGTGCGAGCACTGTGAAGGGCAGATATCTATTACCAAACCACATGGAGAGAAATATAGTCTCTCTCCTAACTTCATTCCATTGTATTGCAATCAGTCAATTAAGGTGATTTTTTTTTTCTGGATGTCTCAATCTAGAGATTTTGTAGCATTTTGCAAATGGGTATGCTTCACTACTATCCACAGTGTTCTCCCCTTTAGTAATTCATATTGAATATATCCATATTCATATGCATTTTATAAAACAGTTAACAGAATCTAAATAAGATATAGCCGGCTAAATCTGGAATGTGAGTGCTACCCTAGGTTATTAGTTCAACAAACTAATTTTGAGAGAGCCACTTAACCTCTCTGGACCTTGTTTGTAAGCTTTCTTCTAGCACTATTACTCTTATCTAAGATCGAAATTGATATATGCATGAAATTCCTAATGGAATTTCAATGTCCATCTCAAAGTAATTTTTTAGGATATTCCATACAGATTTCCTTCTCATTTCTCTGTGTAGATATTTAAAGTATGAAATTGATTATTTAAACTAATATGTGGAAAGAACCTAATCCAGAGCTTGGAATATAGAAAGTGCTCAATTAACTGACATTCCTCCTGTATTTCCTCCCTCCCCTTAGTTGTCTATGACTTTTGAACTCACTGCTCACTGACATCTTAATTGCCTGCAGAAAAATCAATCATATTTTAGGCATTATTTTGAAATATTTTAGAGTTTTCTGTACTATTCAAACTCTTATTACAAAAATCTAAAGATATTTATTGATGCAAAAAATTTAGGGAGTCATTGGAAATACCTGAGGCAATCCCAGGCTAACAATAAAATAGCATAATTTTAAGTAAGCTAGATTGAGTTCATTTGAACATTTAGTTATTTTTTAGCTCATAGTTAACATATGTCCATGCATTTGATTTACTTTAAAAATATTTTATTTAAAAATAACCTCTCAAACACCAGTTGCTTTCTGTCAGTTTTACTCAAAGCATGCTTCCTAGGTCACCTGACCTAGAATCACCAGAAGTGTTAACAATACCGATTTCTGGGCTTTGAGCCATGAAATTAGAATTTCTTCAAATAATCCATGCCCCCCCGTCACCCAAAAAAAGAGCATGCTTTTAATACATTTCCAAAATTATCCTGTTTCTGCTATAACTGGTGAACCATCCTGTCCTAAACTAGCAGTTCTCAAACATGCATATGCCTTTGAAACTTCCTAGATCATCTACATAAAAATCATTTGAAATATTGTTAATAATACACAGCTTCTGAATCTCTGGGTGTGAGATGGGACCAGGAATCTTATTTTAAAAATCTCCCCAGATGGTTCTGGTGTCCTGCTAGTTTTGAGGTTTTCATCCCACCTGTTTAGATGGGTAGTATTCTATTAAATATGAGGTATTACCTTTCTTTAGTTCACCTGGAATCTTCTTAAATATATCGGTAAAGTATTCTACTTCAAAATCCAAGACATTTTGTATACCTAATTATTTCACACAAGAGCGTGGAACTCACCAGTCTTGTGACTTGGGGCAGGTTATTTATAGTCTCCAGACACTTTTTCCAGTTGCGAGTTGCTTATAGTAGTTCGCGAACCTGAATGCACATTAGAACCATCTGGAGAGGCTTTAAAATTGCAGATGTCCAAACCCCACCTCCAGAGAGCTGATCTATTTAGTTTGAGGAAGAGCCCAGAAGTCTAACAGGTGTAAATGTTCCACAGGTAATACTAATGCAGGCATACCTCAGGAAATCACCAGTTCTCGTCTTGGAGGAACTATTAGGAAAATAAAAGATTATATATCTTGAAAAAAATCTCTAATTTGCTTTCTAGGTTCTAACTGCATGTTTATATTTTGCAACAGGAAAGACTGGTCTAGACAATTACTAGGATATATGCTTCTGTGATCTGCTTTTCTATTGTATGTGTTTAAGAGACCACATTCTTGGGTTCCAAAGTCTCCTTGTCTGATAGGTAATTTGCAATTGAGATATGGCAAAGAATTGTAGCATCCAAATTTTTGACAACTACAGATTTAGAATTGAATCCAAGGTCTGCCATTCACTAGCTATGTGCAAGTTACTCAACTTCTCTTATCCTCAGATTTTGCAGCTGTAAAGCAGAGGTAGCATATTTCTGAGAAATTATATTCAGGTGACTAGATATGTGTTCAAGTGTTATCTTTTATTCTTATAAAAGATAATTGTGAGGAATCCAGTGCTATTTTCACAATTTTAATTCTAAAACTCTGAAGACATTAAACAGGCAGTTTGTAGGAATCATTGAAATTTTATACAAGCCGAAGGAACAACATTCAGCAAAACGGAAACAAATAAATACAGCATGGAAGCATATATTCATGTTTCCCATAATTACTAAGTTACGGAAGGGGTGTGAGGAGCTGGCAGTGGTGGTGAATAGGCATTGTTTGCATTACTAAATATATATACCATTTCTTAAGATAATTGGAACTCAAGCAGTCCTAATTTTCTCTCCCTGTTATGAGCAATCAGTAAATTTGTAGTCAATTTAACTTATTATCAGTTGGTATAGCGCATGTCACAGAATAGGATAGCAAGAAGATTCTCAGAGATCATTTTCTGGTAAAGAAAAAGGCCTAGCAATATTTAACAGTTTGACTTAATCCATCACTTCAGCTGGTCCACTAGTTTTGACACAGGACTAGTTAATGATTTGTTAGGAAGTCTCCATCTACTCTTAAACTAATTTAAAAAAAAGCTAAAAGTTGCTTTTAATATGTTAGGGTATAACTTCAATAAACAGGAGTATTTATCTAGTGGTTCAGAAATAAAATAATTGTTAGCCAGCCTGTGATTAAGGCTACCATAATTGCATAATAAATAGCTTTGACGTGAATAATCTCAGTTGTTCAAGTGTACAAATTTAAAGCTGTACTATGTTAGAATAAAAAAGTAGGCTCAAGGAAAATTTCTATTTTTCTATATGAAAAAGAGAATGATATTCAAAATAGTATTTTTAAGTAGTTTCTAATTGTGTTCCTTTAAAGAGTATTAGAAATGTCTGTTATGTCAGTAACATTAGAAAACTTCAAAAACTGATTTATTTTTCTGAGTTCTCTGGAAACCAAACAATTTTGAATTAGTTGTGTAAGTAAAGTAAGTTAAGTTATAGCTTGCTGGAATTTTATTGTGGAAAACAAATATAGATTTTATCTGAAAAATTTTAAGGGCCAATTCTACAGAAAGTTATGCTAACATGCTAACTTTCCACACATGGCTGCATTCCATTTTGATTAATGAGGGTTCAGGAAATAGAAAGGCAGTCTCTGCAGAAGCAGTATCCAAAGGCTAAATTAACAACCCAGGACTACCACTCATTATGTGAGAAATATGGGCCAGAGTTACAATATCACATCTCCAGTCTCAGATTGGCCTCATTAGCCACCTTCAGTTCCTTAAATGAGATAATCCTGAAGATGCCATCCTTGTCCAAGGTGAGATTGCCAGAGGATATGAGCTCATCTAGGATGGAATACATGTCTCCAGGGACTGTAATGAGATCAGGCTTTTCATTTACTGGTTTTCTGCCTCAAGAGTCCTTAAGCAAATGAAGATTATCTGATTGTCTATGTAAACCTGGAAGTAGTCTACTTTTTAGATAAAAGATAATCTATCTTGAATATTTCATATGTGATTTTAAAATAATTAATCAAAAAACAAAGACTATCATATTTGAGAACAAGATTTTACTTAGAAGGGAAAAAAAAGAACTTTCAGCTTAATCGGGGTTAAGGGAGTAATTGTGACAATATAAAATGGCATTGTTATAGAATCCCTAAAAGGTAAATAATGTATGAGATGAAGGTAGGAAGTAATGTGTGCTTGCAGAAATGCAACTGGTCAAAATTACTTGAATGAAATTGTTGAGGTTAAACATCTTCATTATAATAATATGTCTTATTCTGATTCCAAGACAATACGAATGTAGAGAAGAGATTTTTAAATGGAAAAAGTAAGGAGCTAACAAGTCTGTACCTAGATTCAAGTTCACAAAGCGGCAAAAAGGAGAAAAGTGTCAACAAGAAACAAGAAGAGGAGTAGTAAACTAAGGATCAAAGCCCAAGTTCCAGTTTTCACAATCTGCTGTATAATTCACTAACATTTCTGAGCCATAGATTTTTAATCTGTAAAAGGAGTGTGATGGACTGTACATTAGAAGTACCTGAGAAGCTCTTAATAAATCTTGATGAATTGGTTAGAAATTCTAATTTAATTAGCCTGGCACAGTGCACAAACTGCCATATATTCGTGCAGATGTTTTCTTCTTTTCTTACTGCGCATTTCCATGTGGCCATGTCACTACAAGGGGTGGGGAAGAAGTTAATGTGTAATTGCTTCAGGAGCTCTGAATAAAAGGTTGCTGAAGCAAAATACTGCAATGAAGTTCTGAAAATGAAGAGTTAGGACTTTACATGATTTCTCTTGCCTCATTCCCTCAAGAATGCACATATAGACACACATATGCCAATATCTTTTTTATGTAGTTCAAGTATAACTTTGAATAAAATGACTTACATTCAAGGAAGGTCAAAACTATTATTCTGAAACAAAATGTGACAATTCTAGCCATTATGTGAATTGTAAGGGTCAGTAATCCATAAATTATTTGGATGGTAATTGTATGTTTTATTAATGTGATGTAATTTTGCACTATTGTATTGTCATATTTAATCAAACTCTTAAAAATACCCTGAAACATAATGCCAAATGTACAGTTTATAGGTTCGTGTTATTTCTGATAAGAATTTAATTGCATTGTGCTAATAGTTGTTTATTGCTATTAACTTTCTGTGTATGTATTATTGCGATGCAGACCCAATAGGGTTATTTTAAGCACACTAATTAGTCATCTGGATTTTTATAGATAAAATCACATGTTGATCAGAAATCATTTTTCTACTTATTTTTTTGTAGAGTATTTTTCCACACTTGAAAAAAACATGATTATTTTATATCAAACATCAACTTTTCTTTAAATCTTATTTTAGTAGCTAATGCATGTTTGAAATAAGATGTGTTAGAAATTATATGACTATATTAAGGTTGTGTTTATATTAGGTGAAAAATTGCATGCAATTGGTGAATCATGCAGCTTTGGGGACATTTACACTGCCACTCACACACAGGCTCTGTCTCAATCCGTATGCATGATTCACGTCCTTTCAAAAGTCCCTTTTCAACATTTGGTAAAGTGAAAATGTTATTCATAGTGCTAATGAGCCAATAAACAATGCTGCGTTTCTTTTTTCTAACTGCAGCATATTGTGGTAAATTTTCTCCCAAAACTTTATTTTTGGAGTTATTGTTGGCAATAAATACAACAAATTATTTGTTGGCAAGTGATACAATTTACTGTATAACAACTTAATAGTACAAAGCATGAAGATGTGAAAATATCATCTTAACCAGTTTCATTCTATGAACATAATATTCTGGCAGCTTTTTCTATAACTGAGAATGGTATATCTTTTTATACACTGCCTAAATCAGTACTACTGCCAGTCACCTGAGGTCAGGTCTGCACAACACTAAATTGGGCAATAACATAGAACATCTAGGCAGTCTTGACAGTCAACCAGTGTAATCACTAGGGGAAGAAAAAGTAGGCCTACCCTTTTACTTATTAACTTAAGTAATAAAAATTGTATAAAAATATGAATGTTGGCTGCAGAGGAGCCTTTACATGCAGATAATTTGAAGCAGTCTTTGAAAATAACAAAAATTATTCCATTTAATGAAGGGTTTGTTTTGTTTAGCTTTTCTCTTTTATTCAGAAAACATACCTGTGCTTTTGAAAGGGCTTAATCCCAAACAGGTAATATGTGTGGATCAATCATCTCTCCTCCCATGAAATTAATCATTCATGGTAATATATTAAGGCTGGAACGTAGCTCTTAGTGACTTAAAACATGACAGTAAGCATTTACACTGTTGGAAGGTAATTTCATTGCTATGTTATTAAAATGATGGGAATCCTATTTATACATTTATTTATTTATTTATTTACAGAAGATTGGTTCCTTCCAGTTCAATTTAACAGCTTCAGTGAAGTTAGTATAATGATAAGAAAAATTGACTGTAGCTATTATTCCAAGTGAAAATCATGCAGCTGAGTCCTGCTGCATCCTGGGAGCAAAGCATTAATTCAAATGAGGAGTAGTCAGTCCTAGCACTGTAGACGCCGACTTTACCAACCAAGATAGTGTATGTGTGTGACATTCAGCTAACATTGATCTAGGCACTTAGTTTGCTACCACATTGTTCCCTTCATTGATTGAAACTGTAAATAACATAACACTTTAAGGCAGCTAAGCAAATATTTTAATAAGCCATGAAAGGCAAGATGCCAGAGAAAATCTGTATATTCAGCTATTTGGAGAACTCGTGTTTTCCACAAATTAAACTGGAGATGTCATTTGAAATTTTCTTCCCTTAAACATGCTGTCACAACATGGATTCCTTCTCATGGATGTCTTTCTAGGCTTATAAATATATGGTGTGATTGCTATAATTTTGTGAAATTTTATTCAGCAATTAATAGTGATTTCAGCAATATGTACTAAGATTCCAAGGCAGAAATAAATGTATAAAGGATTTGAGCCTGTATGTGTAAGAAGAAACTCTCTCTTCAGTCATATTTCCTAAATTCAGTGTAAGTACCTCGCTGATTTAGCACTGGAGTTATTCCTTGAATGTGTAAATAATGATGTTCTATTCTGACCTAATGAATTCCTGTAATGTGAATATTTAAAATAAAAGAATTCAATTTAAATGTATACTAGCTAGTGCTGGTTATTTATAATTCTTACATTCAAAATTATTCACTTGAGAAGATTCATTTTTACTTCGATGCAAATCTGCATTCTATATATATTGAATTAAAATGTTAAAACTACATAAATATATTTTCCAGATTATACACTCATTACAAATATTGCATCAAAAGGGACAGTCAGTGTTCATACATAAAAAGTTCTACACTACTTTGTTTCCTTACTCTTGCATTGCTTTAATGGATTCAGGGCTGCAATTAGGCCTGTTAATGATTTGGGCTTGTATGCATGGGGAATAGAAGAATCTATTCAACCTTCTCTATTCTGCCTTGATCTTGGCTTTGGAAATGTCTCACCTTGCATTCTGAATTATCTGCTATTTTACATACTCTTTTGGTTGTTTATATTCAGGCCTATAGAATCAACAATTACCAATATGCTAAGATCTCAAGTGTTTATATCCAATTTCCTACTGTCACCTAACTTCCTGCAGGTCCATTGACAGGGATAGCCCACTGTAAGGGAATGGAAACACCTAATTCTCTCTAAACTTTAATTCACTTAAGGGCACTATTATAAGTTATGTTGCCTAAGTCAAAAACTTAGAATTATCCTTAATTCTTCTTTTTCCTTTTCCCCACATTAAATTGACTATGAAATTTCTCTTAAATATGTCACTTTTCTTCTGATCCACTGCACGGCTTCATTTAGTCAATAGAGCCTTCAATATTTCTTACCTGGAGTAAAGGAATAACTTCTTAAAGTCTCAAAAATCTACACTCAACATTGCCACAACTGGATAAAAAAAAACACAGAGGAAAGGTGATACAGAGAGAACTCAGCTTAGAGTGTTGATTAACCAGTAGTTTTTCCCCAAAGTCACATAGTTATTAGGATTTTTCATTGGTTCCTCATATTTCTTAGGATGAATTCTTTATCTGGGAGCAGATCATATACTGTCCTTTAACATTTGACTTCTATTACATTTTCTAAGCTCTTTTTTGCTCCCTTTTATTACCCTATAACGTTTCCTCATCTTTGATACCTCTCATACCACCCAGAGCTCAGAAAGCTTTTCTACCCAGTGAATTCTCAGCATCCTTAAGATTACAGTCCAGGGTCATATTCATTATGATGCAAAATACATTTCAGATGTAAAATATATTTCAGATGTGTTCAAAGGCCAAGAGGCAAGTAAGGTTATTAGCAATATCCTGGAAGAAATGAGTTGTGAGACAGTCCTTGAAAGACTAATTTAGTTAAACAAGCAGAACATGTGGATAGACCTTCCAATGAAACAAGAACAAGGTCTTGCGAAGAGCATACATTGAATAAATATGGCTCATTTTAGTTGTATGTTCATGAAGAAGAATAGTGTTAGATAAGGCATTAGTGATTTAAAAATGAAAAGGTCAGAATGTAGGGAGCTTGACATTCAAACTGATAAATGTAAACTAGGTTGGTTGATTTGAATTGAGTTAGTTTGATTTGATTCATACTGCTGCATGATTTAAAGTCACCGAATAATTATGGGCAGATGTATGGGTGTGTGCAAAGCCACGAAATGTATCTTTTTAAAACTCTAAATCATTACAAAATGTAAACTAGCATCATAACATCTTATCCACCCTCATGGCCTGTTCCAAGGTGTTTCAGTGGACAATGTCTCCCTTTGGCTGAGAGAAACCATGTGATATCGTGTCTCTAAGTGTTTGGGTTCTGAGGCTGGACTGCTCACATTCTACAGCTCTTCCACTTCCAGTGGTGTGGCCTTGGGGAAGTTATTTCACCCTTCTTCACCTTAATTTTCTTGTATGAAAAGAAGGAATAATGACACTTTCTCCTAAATTGTAAAGATAAGTGAGTTAATGCACATACATTATTTAGAACATTATCTGACACCACAAGCACTCAATATCTCAGCTATTATTTTAAAAGGAACACAAACATTTTTATAATACATCTTTTCTTCAGTTCCCCCAGTCACTATTAAATCATTGTCTTTTAACATATTTTTGTTGTTGTTGTTAAAAACATAGATCTTCAGGCCTAGCATGGTGGCATGTACCTGCGGTACTAACTACTCAGAAGGCTTAGGCAGGAGGATCGCTTGAGTCCAGGAGTTCGAGGTTGCACTAAGCTGTGATTATTGTGCCACTGCACTCCAGCCTTAGTGATAGAGTGAGACCCAGTCACTCTGTCACTTTGTTTGTCAAAAGAAAACAAAACAAAACATAGATCTTCATGTTACTGCTCTATTCTGTCTATTCTAGATAGAAGATGGTTTTCTTTTTTTTTTTTTTAAAGACGGAGTCTTGCCCTGTTGCCCAGGCTGGAGTGTAGTGGTGTGATCTCGGCTCACTACAAGCTCTGCTTTCCGGGTTCACGCCATTCTCCTGCCTCAGCCTCCCGAGTAGCTGGGACTATAGGCACCCACCAAGACGCCCGGCTAATTTTTTGTATTTTTAGTAGAAACGGGGTTTCACCGTGTTAGGCAGGATGGTCTCGATCTCCTGACCTCGTGATCCACCCACCTCGGCCTCACAAAGTGCTGGGATTACAGGCGTGAGCCACCACGCCTGGCCAGAAGGTGGTTTTCCTCACAGAGAAGAGTCCTAGAACATGACTGGATGCTTCCTACAAACAGGAGGAATATAAATTTTTGATAGTCTACGCTCAGTAGTTAGGTACTCTGAAAAAAAAATTCCGCACAGAACAGATTCTGATTTGGGAATTACATCTGAAGTAAGCTGGCAATAGTAATAACTCAGAATTTCTCATACTGTAAGTGGTCCGACAACCTTTTTTGAGCATAGAACTGGCTTGAGAGAAACTGAAACTCCTTTCCAAATGGATGATGGAGTTTTGCCCTCCTTGTCTTTTGTTTTCACTCTGTCTTATACTGTAAAAAGGATTTTTTAAAAATTGGAATACCTTTATCAACAGATAGGTTGCCATAATTCGGGAGGAAAATATGCCCAATTACCAAAAACCAGCAAGGACACAAATACCTAGAATATACAATCTGGTAAAAGAGACCAAATAGATTATACTTTAAGGTCCAGTGTCCATTTGGGATTGCCAGGTTCTGTCAAAATGTTAAATATTATGCCCAAAAGCTAGAGGCAGACCTAAAACTCAGGATTTTATTTATTCAAAGCCAAATTATGTCAAGCCAAAATTCTAATTTTAGAGTATATGAGTTTAGAATTACAAGAAAATATTTGTATGGCCATTTAGCCATTTATTAAATTTGTCAACACATGGTATTTAGTTTAGTAAATGACCATGTTTGCAAATGATCACTCAGACTGAACACTGCATCAAATGGTGTCCCTTAAGTCTATGTTCCAAATTATGCTAGTGCCAACGTTTTTGATCTTACTTATTTCTCCTTGCCCTCAACCTAACCATCTCCAGGCTCAAATGCCTTTACAACATGGCATAGTTGAGCATAGTGAAACAGGACAAACTAGAACTTGTGACCTAGAATTACTTTTGCTAAGTGAAGCAGGGCAGGTACTAGAAAGGTAGACCCAAGTTGTAGGTGTTAAAAGAAAGTTTATTCTAGAAAGTTAAGTATTAATGTGATTTCACAAGTTAGGGAAACAGGCAACAAATGATATTCCAAGGACAGACAAGTGATTCTACAGACAAGGTAGAATAAGGTAGAAAAGAGAAACAAATGCATATATATATGTGAAATGCAGTAGCAAAAAAAGGGTAGCAGAACATGGCATAGAAGGTAGGAGGAGATGTCAGGAAGAAGAGAAGGAGGGGAGAGGGAGTGGCTGGGATCCCATTCATCTGAGAGAAGGCTCACCAAGTACAGATGTGGATGCTACAGACATATACGTTTTATATTCTGTGCTAAGTACACTTTGGGATGTCTATTTTTAAAAGATCACCTCAGGCCAGGTGCGGTGGCTCACGCCTATAGTCCCAGCACTTTGGGAGGCTGAGTCGGGTGTATCATTTGAGGTCAGGAGTTCAAGACCAGCCTGGCCAACATGGTGAGACCCCATCTCTACTAAAAATAGAAAAATTAGCTGGGCGTGGTGGAAGGTGCCTGTAATCCCAGCTACTTGGGAGGCTGAGGTAGGAGAATCCTTTGAACCCAGGAGCTGGAGCTTGCAGTGAGCCGAGATTGTGCCACTGCACTCCATCCTGGGCAACAGAGTGAGACTCTGTCTCAAAATATGTAAAGAAATAAACAAAATTAAAAAAAAAAGATAGCCTGACTAAGCAAGAAAAAAAATTAAGAAGATAACTGTTTTCCTTACTTTATGAGTAGGAAAAAGTACTCTTTTGATCCTTACTAGGATCAAAATAGCAATGATCATTTTAGTGTAGAAATGAACTGTAACCATAAAATCAAACTATATCTCTTCTGTGTGCATGTCTGTGTGTATGTGTGAATGTGTGTATGTGTCAGTTTAGAACTAAAATGACACAAGATAGTGCTAGTTTCTTAATTCAGTCTTTAAGAATTGCATTTCCACATTTTTAATGTTTTAACTTCCCATTTTATGAGAACTTAAGAATTGTAAAAAAATTAAAAATTTTTGCAGGGTTCTGCTATAACCCTCATCCAAGTTTCCTTAACTATTAACATCTTGTCAAATGTTAACATAGTATAGAGATCAAAAACAACACTTTCGTACAATATCATTAACTAATCTATAGACATAACCTGAATTTTACCAATTGCCCCACAAATGGCCTTTATCGGGATCAGGATCTAATCCAAGTTCACACATTGAATTTAGTTGTCATGTCTCCTTAATTTCTTCCATTCTGAGACACTTCCACAGTCCTTTGTCTTTTATGACTGATACTTTAGAAGAGTACTAGCAAGTTATTTTGTAGAATATTACATTTTTTCTTTTTTTTAATTGTACTTTAAGTTCTGGGATACATGTGCAGAACGTGCAGGTTTGTTACATAGGTATACTTGTGCCATGGTGGTTTGCTGCACTCATCAACCCATCATCTAGGTTTTAAAGCCCTGCATGGATTAGGTATTTCTCCTAATGCTATCCCTCGCCTTGCCCTCCACCCCCCAACAGGCCCCAGTGTGTGATGTTCCCCTCCCTGTGTCCATGTGTTCTCATTGTTCAACTCCCACTTATGAGTGAGAACATGCGGTGTTTGGTTTTCTGTGCATGTGTTAGTTTGCTGGGAATGATGATTTCAAGTTTCATCCATGTCCCTGCAAAGGACATGAACTCATTCTTTTTTGTAGGTGCATAGTATTCCATGGTGTATATGTGCCACATTTTCTTTACCCAGTCTATCATTGATGGGCATTTGGGTTTGTTCCAAGTCTTTGCTATTGTTAATACTGCTGCAATAAACATACATGTGCATATGTCTTTAGAGTAGAATAATTTATAATCCTTTGGGTATATACCCAGTAATGACATTGCTGGGTTAAATGGTATTTCTGGTTCTAGATCCTTGAGGAATCGCCATATTGTCTTCCACAATGGTTGAACTAATTTACACTGCCACCAACAGTGTAAAAGCGCTCCTATTTAGCTTCTGCACAGCAAAAGAAACTATCATCAGAGTGAACAGGCAACTTACAGCATGGGAGAAAAATTTTGCAATCTATCCATCTGACAAAGGGCTAATATCCAGAATCTACAAGGAACTTTAACAAATTTAAAAGAAAAAAAAAACAAACAACCCCATCAAAAAGTGGGTGAAGGATATGAACAGACACCAAAAGAAGACATTTATGCAGCTAACAAACATATGAAAAAAAGCTCATCATCACTGGTCATTAGAGAAATGCAAATCAAAACCACAATGAGATACTATCTCACACCAGTTAGAATGGCCATCTTTAAAAAGTCAGGAAACCACAGACGCTGAAGAGGATCCACATTTCAATTGTAAGGAATTTTACAACTTTACAGCTTGTAAAGTAGTCATTCAAATCGACTTATTTATTTATTTATTTATTATAGGTGAGGTCTTGCTATTTTGCCCAGGCGGACCTTAAAATCTGGGCTCAAGGGATCTTCCAATCTCAGCCTAATGAATAGCTGGGACTACAGGAGTATAGGACCATGCCTGGTCTCATTTAAGTCTACTTTCTAAAATGGTCAATCAGCAAATGTTATATCTTCAATCAGATCTAGAAATAAAAATGTTAACGTACTTCCCACCAGGTGTCTTAGAAAAACCGTAGAATCATTGTTTAGAGTTCCCAATGAATTAAGACACAATAAGATAATTTTCAACAAGTCTGAAACCTAAAATTCTCCAATATTGGCACCCTAGACCCTCAATAGTTACTTAATAACAGGAAATATGCAAATGAAAATCTTTATTCTACCTAAAAGTAGGAGAATACATTGATTTTATGATACAACATTTATTTCACCTGAATTATTCAGAAAACTTTATACAGCTTTTTGCAATTAATCACCTATGGATTCATGCTTGGATTATTTAATAAGAGATGCTTTATTTATAGTCACTTAATTTGATGGCAAAATATTTCCAGTTTTGCTGGAAATGTGATTTCATGTGAGTTTTCTAACTCACAAAATTCACCTCAGAATCTTCTTATTTAATTTGTATCAATCAGTCAAAATTTTCTAATTATGTCCTTATGAGCCAAATCATTAATTTATTTATAAAATTTTAAAGTAAAATAAAAAATTCACGATTTCATTAAAATAGTTAAGCAAGCACATTAATAATCTCTGTTGACACTATCTTTAGTTTTGTTACTAAAGTTATTTTCTTATTTCCAACTTTTATACATGATACATAAGTGTGTCATGTTTCTATCTACACCTCTAAATAAAGGATTTTTAAAACTTTTAATTTCTGTGGGTCCGTAGTAAGTGTATGTATTTACGGAATACATGAGATATTTTGATAGAGGCATGCAATGTGTAATAATCACATCAAGGTAAATAGGGTATTCATCACCTCAAGTATTTATCTTTTGTGTTACAAACAATCCAATTGTGTAATCTTTTTTTTTTTTTTTTTTTTTTGAGGCGGAGTCTCGCTCTGTCACCCAGGCTGGAGTGCAGTGGCGCGATCTCAGCTCACTGCAAGCTCCGCCTCCCGGGTTCACGCCATTCTCCTGCCTCAGCCTCCAGAGTAGCTGGGACTACAGGCGCCCGCCACGATGCCCGGCTAATTTTTTTGCATTTTTAGTAGAGACGGTGTTTCACCGTGTTAGCCAGGATGGTCTCGATCTCCTGACTTCGTGATCCGCCCGCCTCGGCCTCCCAAAGTGCTGGGATTACAGGCGTGAGCCACCGCACCCAGCCAATTGTGTAATCTTTTAGTTATTTTTAATTGTACAATTAAATTATTTTTACTATAGTCACTCTGTTGTGCTAGCAAATACTAATTCTTATTCTTTCTGTATTTTGTACCCATTAACCATCCCCACTTGCCCTCCCCAGACCCCTCCACTCTTCCTAGCCTCTGGTAACCATCCATGAGTTCAATTATTTTAATTTTTAGCTCCCACAAATAAGTGAGAATATGCAAAGTTTGTCTTCTGTGCCTGGCTTATTTCATTTAACATAATGGTCTCCAATTCCACCCATGTTTTTGCAAATAACAAGATCTCCTTCTGTCTTATGGTTGAATAGTACTTCATTGTGTATATGTACCCCATTTTCTTTATCCATTCATCTGTTGATGAATGCTTAGGTTGCTTCCAAATCTTGGCTATTGTGGGCCTGGCATAGTGGCTCATGCCTATAATCCCAGCACTTTGAGAGGCCAAGGCAGATGGACTACTTGAGCTCAGAAACTTGAGGCCAGCCTGGGCAACATGACAAACCCCGTCTCTACCAAAGAAAATAATAATAATAATAATAATAAAATAAATAAATAAATAATAAAATAAAAAAAATTAGCCAGGCATAGTGGTGAATGCCTGTAGTCCCAGCTACTCCAGAGGCTGAGGTGAGTGGATCAATTTCAGAGGTCGAGGCTGCAGTGGGATGTGATCATGCCACAGCACTCCAACCTGGGTGACAGAATGTGACCCTGTCTAAAAAAATAATAGATAAAGAAAAAACAAACAAATCTTGGCTATTGTGAATAGTGCTCTAATAAACATGGGGGTGTAGATATCTCTCCAGTATACTGATTTCCTTTCTTTTGGGTGTATACCTAGCAAAGGGAATCACAGAGTAGCTCTATTTTCAGTTTTTTGAGGAACCTCCAAAGTGTTCCCCATAGTGGTTGTACTAATTTACATTCCCACCAACAGTGCATGAGGGTTTCCTTCTCTCCATATCCTCATCAGCATTTGTTATTGCTGCTCTGTAGGAGTTACAACTCCTACAGAGTTGTTTGAATTTCTAATATATTCTGGTTTTTAATCCGTTGTCAGATGGGTGGTTTGCAAATATTTTCCCCCATTCTGTGGATTGTCTCTTCACTTTGTTTCATTCACTGTGAAGAAACTTTTAACTTAATGTGATTCTATTTGTCCATTTTTGCGTTGGTTGCCTGTGCTTGTGGGGTAAAGATAAGTTTTTTTAAACTAAAACCATTTGTTTAATCCAGTTATAAGAAATCTCAAGTTTATATTGATTTATTGATCTCTACTTTTGAAATTTGAGAAGAATGTGAGGTTTTACCAAGTTCTTCTGTTGCAATAAAATTTGTGATTGAGGTATTTCTGAAAAAAATGCTAATAAGATAAACCAAGATGAGCTAAAATAAGCCAAAAGGGGGCTTAATGGAAGTATTCTTAAGTGGCTTAGAGAACTCAAGGTGCCAGGCCTTCTGAGAGTCCTGGACTTGGAATAGGGAAGCCTGCAGGAATCTCCACAGTGCTCTACGGTTGTGGGTATGACTTAATGTGAACAAGTGTGGATTTCTGCACATCTGTTTTAACGTGTGGGTTGGTGTGTGTGTGTGTGTGTGCACATGCACGTGCTCATGTGTAATTGTGTGTATCTGTGTTTTGTGTGGGTGAGGGGTGTTAACTTCTTTACTTTTTCTCATCTTCATGCCTTATTCTTCTCTCTGGACATAGAATTGTTATGTTTCTCAGTGTACATAGGGGTAGATGAAAACTCAGCTCCGCAATTCTGAGTTTACAACTTGCTTCCAGTCACATATGGGCATTAACTGTTTCCTGCTTAGGTTAGTTATCTTTCCCCCAGGTAAGTACTCAGAGACAGGAAGTAATTTATCTGGGCCGACTTCTTTCTATTGGCTACTGCATCAAAATCTCTGTAACAGTCCTGCCAAAGTTTGTATACCACAGTGATACCAATAGTTCTTTCTCCAAAATAAATAAATAAATCCTGGTCATACATAAATGATTATAATAGTAAATATAGACTGAGGGTTTTCAGAGGGCAAGGTTGTATTCTAAGTACAAGTATTATTTCATTTAATCCTCATAACACTACAGTTCCAGCATTACCTCTTTTTTTCCCAACCAAAAAGTTGGGAAATTCACCCAACTTTACACAGCTACAAAGTGTGAGAGCTGGAATGTGAGAGCAGGTCATCTGGCTCCAGGACCTCAATGCTCAACCACTTAACTCTACTGTTTGGAAACACTGGATTAAATGAGGTTGAACCAATATCTCATTAATTAATTAATTTTTGCTGTAGGATTTCTTACAACCTTTAATATGTTATAGTAAATTATGACTTTACAAGAGCAGGATATACCATAAAGTTTCCAAAACCTATATAATCATTTTTTCAATCATTTTTATTTTTATGGACTACTGTAAGGCACTAGTAGATGATTCCTTCTGAAATATGGCTATAATTTGCTTTTATTTCTGAATTAATAAAATAATACATAAAAAACAATTGTGTCACAAGGAAAACGGAACAAAAATTAAGTATATTTATTTTCAGGTTTAATTTTAATTAGTTATAGAATTCTCATAGATTCTAAAATTAATGAATATGTCAACACTGGCAGACAAAATCAAATTTTGTGCAAACAACCCAACTCCTAAAATTATTCAAAAAAATCAAGAGTAAAGAAAGAAAGCAGCTCATTTTTCAGACAAATAACTGGAAGCAAAATGTTAACTAGTCCATCTATGGGACATAATGCTTCAAGAATTTGTAGTTCACAGCAATAGTAACTTAGGAAGGGTATAATTCAGTTAAATTCTTGGATGATAAATTTATAACGAATCCACAATGGAATCTAAGAAGCAATTCCTTTCTAGAAGAAGTTTAGGAAAGACAATAAGTTTCTCCTCTCACAAAACAACAATTAACTCATGTAACAAATGTTTACTTAGTCCGTACTGGACGCAAGGAACTCTCCTGTATTTTTAGAAGACAATACATGAATACAATGAATTATTTTGTCCTCACATCTCTCATGATATATCTTTATATATATATAACTCACACACTCGGGAGAAACCGCATTCAAAGGACAGAGAAATGCACATGAGATGATGAGGAAAGGCTTTAGAAAGTACATGGCACTTAAACTGGACAGGATGGACAGGGCAGGTATTAGGACAAGAAATAAGTGAATTGTAAGGAAAGGGAACACAATGACATGTAGAAAAGGTAAAATACAGGTCCAGGCACAGTGGCTCACACCTGTAATCTCAGCCCTTTGGAAAGCTAATGCGGGCGGATCACGAAGTCAAGAGATCGAGACCATCCTGTCCAGTATGGTGAAACCCCGTCTCTACTAAAAATACAAAAATTAGCTGGGTGTGGTGGTGCGCACCTGTAGTCCCAGCTACTTGGGAGTCTGAGGCAGGAGAATCGCTTGAACGCTGGAGGCAGAGGATGCAGTGAGCTGAGATTGTGCCACTGCATTCCAGCCTGGTGACAGAGCGGGACTCTCTCAAAAAAAAAGAAAGAAAGAAAGAGAAAGAAAAGAAAGGAAGGAAGGAAAGAAGGGTAAAATACAGAGAAGAAAAAGAAATAATTCAGTTTAATTATAGCTTTTTGTCTGTAAAATAATTTTTTGTCTGAGAAATAAGCAGGGAGATAGACAGTGGAAACGAGTGTATTCCCTAGGGCAGAAAGTACCAAGTAGACAGTGCAGTATCATGGTTATGAGCATGGACTGCAAAGCCTGGAAAATGCCTTCCTGCTTCCAGTAGCAATGGTTCTCACTAGGAGTAATTTTGCTCCCCATGGGATATTTGGCAAATTCTGGAGACATTTTTAGTTGTCATAACTGTTTAATGTACTACTTAATATTTAATATTGTGGTAATTTAGAAGATTCAAAGTAATACTACATTTAACATTTAAGACAGTGACATGATAGCTGCAACACACTGCTTACTGACATTTAAAGGAAAAAATATCATGACTTTCATTTCTGAAATCAACGGACTAAATGTTTCAGAAAAACTTTTCTGTTGAACATTACGACACTGAATGAACTGTAACGATCATCTTCTGAAAACAAATAGCTCGATGAGAAAGAATTAAAAGGCCGACGCACTGGGAAGAATGTGAATCCAGTGATTTTAACATGACAATTGGGAATATTTTGCTCTGGGATATTATCTAATCATAATTGCTCACCACTAAAAGCTGAGCTGCTTTTTATTTCAGGGATTTTTAACATCATCGCAAGTCTTGGGTGGCAAAAGTCAGCATTCAGGACCAATAAACAATGTAATCCTGCTACACTTCACTGTCTGGTTTGAGGTCGGGTCCAAAGAGCCACACAGCAGTATGAGGAGGAAAGAAGGAACTGCTCTTGTACAGACTGCAGTCAGATCATCTGAGTAGAACAGGAAACCTCATGCTCAAAGCACAGTTTCAAGTTATGTGGTCTAATAGTGACCTCAGGTACCCAGTAGAAGCAATAAAAATCTTCTTTAAAGGATGATAAGTCATCCTGAGCTCCTGATTATTTTCTATAAATTATCTTCTTGAGACATTGTCTATTATGCAAAAATAAATAGGTAAATGAGGAAACTAATTATGGTAGAAAAGCAGGTAAAATCACTTCTGAAAAGTCAACAGAAATAGATTCAAAAGATCCCTGAGTTGAGGACACAGAGTTGGTAGTCTGGAGAGGCAAAGGCAGCCAGTCATATTTGCAAAGCACAGTAACAAATAGCAGGAGAGACAGAGACAGAGCTGGAGACAGAGAGAGAGAAAGAGAAAAAGAGAGGGAGAGAGAGAGAGATACTGAGATCTGAAGGTCTGCAGAGGGTTCCCATATTCAGCTCACTAATCAGTTGATGCTTTTTAAAACATGTATGTGGGGAAATTACCTGAGGCCAGGGAAAGAGCAACCTCAAAGGATTCATGGGTACAATCCATGGGAATAATACAAAGCTGGGACTAGTTTGTGTTCCTACCAGTGAGTAAAGAAAAACCTTGAAATTAACAGGACTTTCAGTAAAGGATTCAAAATATATTGCCTCGGTAGGAGGAAATATTAGCCCTTGAGTACAGGCTGCTCTGATTCTGCCTGACAAAGCTTAAAAGCAATTCTTAACAGAACAAAACCATTTCCAAGTACTTTGACTGTGTCCAAACCAAAGTTCAAAAATATTTACAGACTTAAAATGTATATAATATTCAACAAGATAAAATATTTAATGTCTGGCATCAAGTCAAAAATTAAATTCAAATTAAGTAGGAGAAAGTAAATAATAAAAATGAGGACAGACACTAAAGAAAGAGAAAATGGAAAATGTATAGAGAAAATCAATGAAACCAAAAACTGATTCTTAGAAATGATTAATAAAATTGATCGATTTTTGGCTAGACTGGCCATGGAAAAAAGAAAGAAGACATAAATTACCAACACCAGAAGTGAGAGAAGTTATAGGACTATATATTCTAGAGGTATTAAAACGCTAATGAGGGAATATTATGGACAACTCTAACCCAATAAATTTGACAACTGAGATGAAATGGAAAAAATTTTCAAAGACACAAACTACCAAGGCTCATTCAAAATAAAAAAATTATCTGAATAACCCAATATCCGTTTTCAAATTTTAAGTTTGTAGTTTAAAATCTTCCCACAAAGACATTTCCAGGCCTGATGAATTACTGGCAAACTAAACAAACATTTTCAGAAATTCAAGAGGGTATGTTTATTGTCTTTAGTGCAATGATGGCTTCACAAGTGTATACATATATCAAATCTTATGAAATTATATACTGTAAATATACGTCAGTTATACCTCAATAATCTGTTTAAAAAGGTTTTAAAAAGTATGTTTCCAGTAAATAAGCAATGGACAATTCCCACAGGAATATGTCCAACATTTATTAAGAAAATGCAAATAAAATAATATTGAAAAATTATTTTATACCTCTCACCAAATTTTAAAAGATCAAATAAATGCTCAGAAAATTGTGATAAGAATGGTATATTTAGATACTGCTGGTGGAATAAGCTTTTTTACCCATATGGAAAGTAATATGAAAATATATGTTCAGTAGTTTCTTGGAAATTGCAACTTTAATCAGAATGACATATAACAAAAACATTTGTTTTGTCATCTACATTATAAAAAAAATGCATTGAATGAAACAACTCTATTCCAGGACATGCTACATGTCCTTTTGCTTAAAGCAGTAGTATTCAAGAACCTATCAACAAAGTGAGGACTTACTATATTGTAGTAATGTGTGAGATATATGGGTGCATGTGTGTGTGTATGTATCAGCTGTCATAAATAATTTGATACTTATGTTTCCAATAAACTTGCTTTTATCATATTGTAAGAAAATGATTTTAACTGGATCAAGATGTTTACTTCATTATATAGAATATTTAAAAAATTGAAACATTTCAAATACTAAAGAGTAGAAGAGGCTTTATAAATCATGTTGCTGATACATTGTGAGACTCTTTGTAAGTCAAAAAAAAGAGTAAATGATCAAACAAGTGAAAACACAGATGTCGATATTATGCATATGTCATAACTACAACTAGTTTTAAGTTTATGTTTTTGAATGAGTGAGACAACAAAGTCTGGATGTAATACTTCAAAATAAAAATAGTTTTGTTATGGTGGGGACAATATTGATGACTTTTTTAAAAAATTGATGTTGTTACATTAGTTTTAATTTAAAAAAGGCACTTCACTTGATCTAAATGTTTCTTACAATGTAAATTCTCTTTCAAGTTACTAATTCTTAAAATAGTTTTCTATTAGTGATAACTAATTTGTACTAATTTGTCTATATTCTTCTTTTTCCTCCTAATTTTATCAGAGAACTGAAGTACGGACCACAGTCATGGAATAGTGTGAAGCCCTAAAGTAGTTCATAACCTCATTAACATGACATTTATAGCTGAGCTAAGCGATCATGAATACGAATGCAACAGAGAGACTGAGTGAGGACATTTCTACTGTGATGGTTGTATTCTGTATTGTGCACTAAAACTAATAAGGCTTATGATAAAACTAACAAAAGCAATAACAATACCAAAAAAAGATTTGCACAAATATCCACAGAAATTTGCATCCTGCATCTTGGTCAGTTGATCCTTCTTGGAGATACAGATCCTTGAATGTATTTGCTTCAAATACAATCTTGTTTGGATAAAAGTGAAAACTGGCCTCAAGTTGCAGCTTTTATTTTTCGTTTCTCTCTCCCTCTCTCTCCCTCTTTGGAGTTTCTATGAGCTTCACTCAAAGCAGCTTCACCAAACAGCTTAACTTTGGAGAAAACTTGGCAGATCTGGAAACCACAAAATACCCATCACCTCTGCATATTGCTAACATTTTCTCTTTATAAAAGCTTGTTTCTGCATGTTTCAAACATGTTTCTACACTAGGCAAAAGCACTTAGGAGCCAACCGTACTTTCCCATTTGTATTTTGACATAATTTCCCTATTTTCTTGTCACTTATAACCTAACTTGCATAATAGAAATACATATTTAAATCCCTTCAGCTATTTGTTAGGTTATTTATCTCAACACCCTATACTATATACCTCATTATAAGTCCATGGTTCTTTTTGCAGACTGCATATGAGTTTCTTAAATCTCTCCATTTGTAAATTTAGAAAACTTTTAGAACTTACCTAAGAGGATTGCTATGAGAATTAAATGAGTACAGATGTTTATGATCAATTTAGTAAAATATTTGTGATCATTATCATTAGCTTCTGTAATGGAAAGATAGATTTCTACGTAAGCCAAACCTATCACATCTAAGTAGCTATTTTAAACACGTTGCATATGGAAACAAGATGGAAAACATTATATCATGAATTTATGTTTTGATTATCAACATTATTAAATTTGCCCTTGTATGAAATATAATATTTAACCCCAAATCATTTTTTCCAGTATTTGAAAGAAGTTTACTTTTGAGGGGAATGTGTTGAGTCTAAACTAATGCTAACATGACTGCTTATTTTTTACCGCCTGACACAAAGTTATGATTCAAAAATTATTATTCAAATAGGTTAAAAGCCAATTTAAGAATACAAAAAAATCTTAGAAAAAACTACTCAATTTTAATTTAGAGTCAAGAATAGAGTCTATACTACAATGGAATCTAGGGAAATTCTTGGCACACTTAAGGAATACTTCAATGTTCACTAACTCATCTCCTTCAAAAGTTATCATGAAACAAAAATGCAAGCAGAGACAAAGTGAATAAATAATATCAAATGGTTACATTAAAGGAGAAATAGACTTAACTGTTTCATAAAGCAATAAATAATTTCAGCCATCTAATCAAATTCCTTTATTTTATAAATAAATTGGAGTTCAGAGAAGTCAAATGACTTTCTCAAGTTTACATAGCTCATGGTAGGCAAGGTCTTAATTCCGAATGTTGTGTCCATCCATCTGTGATATCATGCTTCTATATCATGTCTAATAAGAAAAAGCACTCAATGAAGCATGCTACAAACATATATGCAATGATCAAGACTAAAATGTTGCTTATAAACCAAAGCACAAAAGGTATTTTAAAAGTTTTTCTCCTCTTCATTAGTTAGGACAGCAATTACTCATAAGTAGCCAGTAGCAAATTAAAATATCTTATTTATTACATGTTGACCACCACTATTCTTCTTGCTTGTCAAGCCAAGATTCAGCCAAAATTTCCACATGAATGTAATTGTAACAAGAAAATAACACTGTAAATAACTATTGTATTAGACCATTCTTGCATTTCTATAAAGAAATGCCTGAGACTGGGTAATTTATACAAAATGAGATTTAGTTGCCTCATTGTTCTGCAGGCTGTACAGGAAGCATAGCAGCATCCACTTCTGGAGAAGCCTCAGGAAGCTTCCAATCATGGCAGAAGCCAAAAGGGGAACAGGCACATCACATGGTGAATGCAGGAGCAAGCAAAGGAGTGGTGGCCACACACTTTTAAAGGGCCAGATCTCATGAGAACTCACTCACTATTGCGAAGATGGCACCAAGTCATGAGGGATCTGCCTCCAAGAGCCAAACACCTCCCACCAGGCCCCACCTCTAGCACTGGGGATTACAATGCAACATGAGATTTGTGTGGGGGCAAATATCCAAACTATAGCAATTATTTTTAAACATTTGCCATTTCAATCAACACAATGTTTTAATTCATCTTCACTCATCTTCCATGTTTTGGTTATTAATTAGCAAGAGGTCTTACATTTGTATTACATTTGGAAGTATGGGTAAAACATATACCCTTATTTAATTAGGAAATATTTATTTAATTCTTCATTGCAAAAATATCTTCAGTAGAAACTGAAAAATAAAGTGATAAGCTCAAAGCATTAATCCAACTATCTTTTTTTAGAACTAGAAGAGATTATATGAATTATTGAGTTTCAGTGTCTTTATTATTGAAGAAACTGTAACACAGAGATTATGCACAGCTGTAGGGATATGACGGCAAGAACAGAAATACACTTCTTATGTCTTTCTCATTCTTTCCTGAGATGGTCGAATATACCTTAAGTTATGTATCTAAAAATTTAAAGCCCCAGGATTGGGTTCTCAAGTTGATAACTGTATGACTGTAAGCCCAGAATGATTCTAATGATAATGTTTTCAATTCTAATCTACCTTTAGAAAGTGTAATAAATAAAATAGGATCTTAGACACTTGCAGTCAAGCTTATCTCAGCTTTCCACCTTAAACTGCATTTACTGAATTTGCTTTATATGTCACAAGCCAGGTCCCATCCAAGAAGAAAGAACAAAGCCAATGATTGAAATGAAACAGAAATCAATGATAAAAACGGGAGGATATGAAAAAATAATTCTTTTAAAAGAAGCTTAATGTGCAAAAAATAGAAGTGCCATTTTTGAGAAGGAATAAATATATTATGAAGGTGGGTGTTTATAATGGATTAAAAAGAAGCTCAAGAAGCATAATTTACTAGAAACAAAAAACAAAGGTATATTTAACCACTGACACAGGAAGAATCTTCTTTCATGCATATAATTAGCCTGGAGGTTCTGATGGGAAAGAGATATAAGAATAAAAAGACATCTTTAATAAAAAAATAAGGAAAGTCATTTTTTGCTCAAATGTCAGATGGCAAAATCAGCAAGCATAGGACTTCCCATACACCTAGGGCTCCCACCACCATAGGTAAAATAAAATGAGGAAAAAAGTCCTCCATAAGAACCTTGGGTTAGTAACTTACGCACACACGAACACACACATGCACACGTGTGCACACGCACCCCCCCACCCCCACAAACACACACACACACATACACAATTTGAGAGAAGGAAAAGGGCCATGGACAGGGACATTGCACACATTCCCATTCCCAACAGTGAATCAGTTCCCCAGGATGGGCTCCTGTTTCTAGAGCTCCTAACTGTCACCATCTACCTTCTTCTAATCCAGGCCTCTTCCTGATTCCATTTCCATGCACCCCTTCACGGACCAGTGGGTTAGGATTCTAAAAATCTGTCCTGTTCTAGTAGATTAGTTTAAAACTATTAGTGTCACAGAATTAAAAGAAGTGAAGAGGTAAACTTCACTAATGGGCCAAAATGAAAAAAAGACAGCAAATATTGAGAGATATCCATCTGTCCACCAAAGCCAGCTTTCTAACTTCAAATAAAGAGTATTTAGTATTAGAATCTAAGGATTATTAAATCTGGAATAACTGGAAATGAATCTGTTTTCAGATATATAAGTAGTAGGGTTTTTTTCCTACTAAGTATAATCATTGGCTTGGAGTTAATAACATATTTTGGCCAGATGTTCACTGGTACTATGACAAATTATAATTCATATACATACATATTGTCTTCACATGCAGGTTACAGGATAAACAACACAGAAACACCCACATTCTGATGTCATGGATTGTTTCTTCTTGGGCTCAGGATAGCCTACAGTACACAACATCATCACGAGAAATAGTTTCCATCATCTATCATTCACTGCACATCATTGAAAACTGAATGTCTTCCCATCTTACTAGTTTTCCTAAAAGCAACCATGGTGAGTAAATCCAAACAACTGATTTTCGGATGAAGAAACTGTGGCCTCTACCTGGAGGGCCCCACAAATCAACAACATAAATAAATTTAAAAGAATCTTCTTTGTGTTGTGGACATTCAAAATCCTCTTTTCTAGCCTTTGAAAACATACAATAAATCCCAAAAACGTGTACAATTATTGTGTCGACTAAAAATAGAAAGAAAAAAGAAGCAGTCTTCTGACTCCCCTACATTGCATATGATAATACTGATACACAATACCTCATTCAGTGGCTCACGTTATTCACTGATGTGGCTGAGGTTCTCAATTCATTTTTTATCTAGTAACCTTGAGATTTTACACCACTTAAGTTTTATTACCTGGAAATTACATCTAATTTATCTCCACAAATACATTGGAATCAAATAAATGTAATGTAAATCAGTAATCAGGTGGCTTTAGGACCGCCTTTAATTAGACCTGTGGTAATTTGTCTAACAAATACATCACTGTACAATCAAATTAATGTATATAATAAATTCTAAAGTGGCTCCTCTGCCATTGGAAGACTGCAAAGCATGCTGCATACCAAGTAGTATTAAAGGGTTCTCTGGCCTGCAGCTTTTCCACAATGAGTGTTTTTCCTCATTAGGGAGTTAGTCACCAACTCGTGTTCCATGCATGTTCCACCTCTTGTATGGGTAACCCAAAGCCACAACATGACCAAAGATTTCCCATGTAGCTTTTAAATGATGCTTTCTGCTAGTGATATCCTGCCCAGCCCACAGCCTTTCTGTTATTAAAAATTCTCTTGGACTTATTTATAAATTTCAAAGGCCCCCTTTTTCAGCCACAGCACTCCACCTGTGATGATGCAAGTCAGCAGAAGGAGAAAATTGATCAACAGCTCCTTCTTACACAAGAGACTCTGATATAGGGACAAAAGTATCAAATAGATTAATCCGTTCTAAGCACTTGAAGCTTCATAAACCTACATAAAGCAGGATCATATGGAGAAGGAACAGGTCTGTCTTCAGCTCTCAAATGCATTTCCAATCTGCCTTTCCATTTATCAGAAGCATCTTTAGTAAAATGGAGTTAATACTTGTGTCTTTCACAATAAATTAATAACTCAGTTATTTTCTTCAAATACTCTTTACTCCAAAAATCCTTAAGACATCATGCTCTGTCAACTACTAAGGTGTTTTACTCATTGGCTCTACTGGTAACTTGTTCAAAGCATACTCCTAGGCTGCATTCTCTTGAATTATTCAGATAAAAATGCTGCTGCCATTCTTTTTAGCTGCTCTAGAGGAAAAAAATGCCATTGCCCCATATTAAATTTTAATGATTATAAGCAGACTTCATTTAACATAGAATGAAGATTTTATACATGATATGGAAAATTATTTATTTAATGTCTGGTATTATTGTTATAATTGTTACTATCTGTATTTAACACTATCATTTATTATCTGAATACCACAAACATGTACTAGAATAGGTCTTTCATTTACATTATCCTACTTAATACTCAAAAGACAAAACCCTACGCTGAATATTTTAGCCCCATTTTTCAGAGGTAGAAACTGAGTTTCAGAGAGGTTGTCTAAAGATAATTGGTTCATTGACTGGCAGAACGGAACCCAGATTCATCTGACTCCAAAGACAGCATCCTATCTATTCAGCAATGCTGACTCTGTCCACAAAAGTTTTGAAATATCTTATATTAGGATTTAAGAGCTCTGTTTCTCCACTTCATTCAGTTATAAATTAAAGTATTTTCTGAGATTCCTAAGTGCCAGGCAAGAAGTAGAGACAGGTGGAGCAATGAAGAGAAAAACAGACCTGATTCCTACCCTAGTGAAGTTTACCAACCCATAATCACACAAGTAAATACAAATTGACAGCTGCGATGAGTGCTATGAAGAAAGAGTATGTATTTTTCAGGAAGATAGGTATTTGCAATATCTCTGGAGCAGTTGGGTGAAATGTATTTTCAATGAATGGTAAAGGCTCAGTGACCAAAGCTAGGCTGGGACAAGATGAGGCAGAGCAAAAGCATGTATGTGGTCAGGAATAGAGAAGGCCATGCCACGGGAACAAAAGGAGCTCTGCTATGAATCAGAAACTCAGGCTGCTAACATTAACTCACATCATTAACTCTCATGATTGTGTTTAGAGGATAAATTATTGACCTCCTCTTACCCAGGTGGAGATGGAAATTACAATGACTATCGAGTCCCGGAGCCAGGAAGCAGAAAGGCTGAGTTGATTTGGAGACTGCTTCATCTGAAAGTAGGCATGTTGTCACCACGCTACGCTGCCTCAGAATTTGCCTTTTAGGCAAGCTGTTTTAGACAAACACACACAGGTGACCATCAGCTAAAACTTTTCAAAACTGATTAAGAACTTTGTGACAAGTCTCCACTGAAAAATCTCTTGAAATGACAAGAGCAAAAGGATGAGGGATCTATTAAAAGTGCAAATCATTTTTCAAAAGTATCGCTGATGTGAAATAACACTTGGATGTGAATTTGATAAACATACCAATCCTTGCCTCCTCTTTTTTCTTTCTAAACTTCAACTCAATGCACATCTTTGAAAGATTCGTTCAAATCACCTCAGTTCCAGGGAATGCTGACGTTTCATTGGAATTCTCTCAAATTGTTGCAGACTAGGAATCCAAACAAATGCCAAGTAACTATGTCAGTAAGAGTAGATGTAGCTGCAAATATTTCCAAGTGAGATAGTGCAACTTTGCATCTGCTGGAATACATTCATTTCTCCTTGCAATAGAAGTAAGTTTGATCTAGGAAATGTGGCTTATTTATATGGAGATTTCTAATATCTCACAAAACTAACATAAAAGTGTTTATACAAGACCCATATCCTACACTTGTATAAAAATTCCTTGTAAGAAATCTTGTGCTTTGTTGTGCAAAATGTCTTCTAAGGCACATCACAGGAGTGCTGGGATCATGACCTAAGCTGCTTCAGACTCATTGTTTGAACCCCACTGGAGACTCTCCTACTGACCTCTCAGTCTCCAGATTAATACTTGCACTGAAATGACCCTGTTTCTTACCGTTATTTCTGAAAGGTTTCCTCATTCCTTAAGGTCCAGTGTAAATAATTAATATTTTAGGAAGCTTCCCAGATGTCCTACAAATTATTTTTCTTCCCTACACTCCCATGAGACTTTTTTCTGTCTTTACTATTACACTTATTCCGGAGTGATGTATTAGAAATATGTCCTATCTCCTCTATTCACTGTATAAAAAATTCCTGAAGGTCACAGAAGGTACTTTCCCACCTTCCCTCAACACAGGGAAGTGTATTAACTGCACTTAGTGTACTAAGACTATATTTGTTGACTTGTAGACTCTTCTATCTTAATTATCTAATTCTACACAGCCACACATTTGCTTTCTTGTGTATAACTGTATGTCTTATGTATATGACTTTGGAGATACAATCTATCATGATGAAAATTATCATATCGTTATCTTGAGGATAGCTAAATTCTTTGTCTGCCCATAGTACCTAAAAAAGTGCATTTAAGCTACTCTAAATTCTGAATATATATACACACAGACACACACACACATGCACACACACCTCAAAAAACATTTAAAACATTAAACTCTAGTCAAGCTAGACTGCTCTCTAGATTATAGGCACCCTCACATGTTCATACTTCTGTCTGTCTCTCTGGATTGTTGGCTAAGTTGTTTGATTAACTGTGGAATAGAGATTAGAAACCCAACAATTCTCTAAAAGTACTTGAAACACAAAACAAAATAATCTTTACAACACTGTATTCAAATACTTCAGAGCTGATAGGAACCTTGGTGACTGTGGGAGAGCCTCTTAGCTTTATAGATGATAAAACCAAAGCCAGAACACAGAGAAGTACCTGTTATTCAATGATGAAATCAGGAGTCCTGACTTCCTGTCTGCTGCCCTAAAAGGTCTGATATTTGTAAAATATAACATGTTGACTACAATAACTCAAGAAAATAGTTCCATAATTCAGAAACATTTGGTTTAAGTATATATACACACACACACACACACACACACACGTATTTTTTTCTTTTTTTGAGGACAGAGTCTCACTCTATAGCCCAGGCTGGAGTGCAGTGGCACAATCATTACTGTGGCCACAAACTCCCAAGTAGCTGGGGCTACAGGCCTGTGCCAGCACGCCAGGCTAATTTTTTGTATTTTTAGTAGAGGTGGGGTTTCACCATGTTGCCTAGGCTGGCCTCAACTCCTGGACTCAAGGGAGCTGCCTGTTTCAGCTTCCCAACGTGCTGGAATTACAGGCATTAGCCACTACACTCAGCCCATATTTATTTTTCTGGGAAAAAAAAACAACTTTATTAAGGTATAATTTATGTGATATAACTTACATCTAATTTAATTATACATGTCTAAAAGTTTTGAAAATGAAAGCCACTCACTTTTAGAGAGCATTTTACTCTCACCAAAACATTTCATCAAAGGCCCATTTTCAGTCAATACCACTCCACTTTCTGAGTCTAAGTGACCACTCATCAGCCTTCTGTCATTTTAAAGTAGTTTTTGCTTGTTTCCGACTTTCATGTAAATGGAATCATTTGAACGTACTTTGTCTGACTTTTTTCACGTAGAACATTTTTTGTGAGATTTATCTATGCCATTGCTTATATTAGTAGTTCATTTTTTAAAAATTAGCAAAACTTCAGGCTTTATTTGAATTTCACAAGTTTTCCATTAAAATCAGCTGATCACCACCATAGTGGTCAATTGGGAAGAAAAATACAAAGCACTGATTTGGTAAAGAGTGTAGCTATAGAGTTAGACAAGTATAATTTGGACTGGCATTAATTTTTATTTTAATTCATACTGGCCATGTATGACTTCAGGGAATGTATTGACTTCCACGAACTTCAGATTCCTCATTTGTGAAATAAGAATGGCAATCCACAATGCAGAGTTGGTTTTCAGATTAATGAGATAATATATGTGCCTGTTTAACTTAGCATAAGAACTTAATAAAAGTTTGCTAAATAAAAGTATAAAATAAATAAGGAGAAAATACAGCAGACCAACTTAACATGAGATACTAAGAATTCACAGAAGATAAAACCAACATAATTGAAGACATTCACTTATTAATTCAGCAAGTAATTATTGAATGACTGTTTTGTGCCAGGAATTGGTGCTAGGCATTCCGTATTGGCTCCATAAAATTTACACTCTAATATGAAACAGAAATGTGCGTCTGTGTGTGTTTGTGTGCAAATGGTGATGAATACAATGAATAAAAATATAACAACCAGGTTAAAGGGACAGTGGTAGAGGATGCTATATTACATTAGATAGAGAAAATTATGTAAGGTGACATTTGCACACAAAATAGCTGTCTGGAATGAATTAAGGAAGCAAGTCACGGTTTGGGTGAAAGCATTCAAATTCAAGAGAAAAGCAGATTAAAACCCCAAGACTGGTGTGAGTTTAGTATTTTGGAGGAAGATCAAGCAGTCCTATTGTGGAAGAGAAACACAGGCTGAAGTGCAGAGAACAAGGGTAACAGTCATAAGAAATGAGAAGGAGAAGTAACCAGAGGCCCAACCATGTAAAGTTGTACAGACAAGATGAAAGGTTTTAAATTTCATTCTAACTATGATGGGTCATAATGGAGTGACATGACCTAATTTATGTTTTAAAGAATCACCAGTGTCTTCCATTTCTAACATAATGGCAGAAAAGATATAAAGAGAAACACATTCAGGTACAATACACTTTTTTAAAAAGAAAGCTAGGTGCAAAGTAAAAGAAATTTACAAATTTCAGAAATAATAAAAATCTATACTCTGTGCTTTGGAGCTGCACTTACTCTCAAATTGGCTGTCCATCTCTGGTAGATTAGAGTTTGGGCTTTAACAAGCTGAGTGTGCTGAGGACAGGACAAAAAATTGAGGAAGTCTAATTGGAGATCACTGATAACATTGGAGGCACAGGAGTGTAGCTTACTCAATGGCTTGGCCAGAAAATAAACCCTCAAAAAGAGAGACTATGGAGTCAAGACCAAGACCTGAATTTGGCAAAAGAAACAAATAATTACTCATTGAGATTACAAGCTCACATTCACACAGGTTTGACTCTGATTTTATACTAGTCAAATGAGCCCAAAAAAGCACAAGCTGAAAATTTATCACCATGTTTCTAACTTTTCCATACACCAGGCTGAAGCAAATAAATGAAGACACACAGAACTCAGAATTCAAATAATTTCCAGAGTTTCAAAAAATATGAGCTCACAATGATCATTTACTATGATGTAAGGAAAAAAGCCAACATTACAACCATCAATAACAAAACCAAACTACAGAATCTGTGCCAAATTTAAAAAAAAGATATTGGAATTATCCAGTACTAAAATAAAGTAAATATTCTTACTATGTATAAACAAATAAGGGGAGCAATAAAAGCATGATGAAACCAGAAGAGTAACAAAATTGGCAGGTAGTTTTGAAAGAAACATAACAAAACAGAACTGTTGGACACAAATATACTAACAAAAACAATATCATGGATTAAGGGCAGATGAGAAAGTGCTGGAAGTAAACTAGAAAACACAACTAACAAAATTATGAGGCAACACAAAGACAAACAGATAAAAAAGAAATTATGGAAGAACAATGTGAAGGCCTAATATAAGACTAACTGAAGGGCTAATATAAGACTAACTGTAGTGCCAGAAGAAAAGAATAGTAAAAGATAATGGTTAAGAATTTTTCAGAAATGAAGAAACAGTTCAATTTGCAAATTCAGAAACTCCAATGAAACCTAAGTGAGAAAAATTAAAAAGAAATCCATACCAAGAAATATAGCAAAAATGCAAAACACAAAAGAAAAAAGGTATTATGAGCAGCTATCAATTTTTAAAAATATCATAAACAAAGTAAATATAATTAGACTGATAGCTAATTTATCAATGCCTATAATATCAGATGGAAGAATGTTATTTTCAGATACGAGAGAAAATAATTGTCAAAGTAGAATTCTGTACTGGCAAACAATCTTTCAATAGCAAGATTGAAATACAGATATTTTCAGACCCTGTTAAAAAAGGGATTTTATTACAACTGCTTTATAAAAATGATTTCCAAGGAATCTACTTAAGAAGGAAAGAAAATGATCAAGAAAATATGTGCAGGATTGAAAAAAGCATGATGAGCAAAGAAAATCAGGAAATTGGGCAATAAAGCTATACAAGTATTGACTACACTATTGAAATTATAATAATATTGCTATATAGAAAATAAACATAAAAAGTAAAAAAAAAAAAGAAAAAACATATATACTGGAAGTATTAACCTCCTAAATCAGTGCAGACAAAATTGACTTCACAGCAAAAAGGCCTAAGGATAGAGTTACATTGTAATGTTTCAATTCACAGGATGATAAAATTCTAAATCTTTGTGAACCTAATAACATTGATGCAAAATACATAAAGCAAATGTTTATAGACTTCAAGAAGAAATTGATGGATATGTCAAGATAATGAGAAAAATGTACACATTTCTGTCAATAATTGACGAAGTAGGGAAAACAAAAATGATTTGAAAAGATTTTTTTAAATCACAATCAATTCATTTTACTTAATTGGCATATATTGAACCACGACAGCCAGCAACTGGGGAACATTTTTTTTTAAGTATACAGAACATTAAAAAAAACTGACAATCAACTATGTAAATTTTTTTTGACACATTTAATAAAATCTATATCATAAACTGGTATTTTTGGGCTACAAGTCAATTAGGTTAAGAAATAAAAATAAGTTAAAAACAACATATTTAGTAAAATTTTTTTCTTAATAATTTATGGGTTAAAGATGAAATTGTAATTGAAACTAGAAAATAATTAGAACTATATGATAATAAAACTTCTTTTAACTTTTTAGGATACCACTAAATCAATACTTAGGAAAATTTTATTCTTAAGTAAACTAATTTTGGAAAAGAAATAAAGCTGAAAATTAATGAGGCACATAAGACATTTGAAAAGAAAATATAGAATTAATATACATGAGAAAAAATTAAAGAAATATAAAATTTTAAAGCTACAATGGAGATGATAGGCAAGCAAAATTTGGCTAATATTAAGACTAATAAAATTGCTTAATATTTTGCAAAACTGATGAAAACATTAAAATAGAAAAGAGAACATGGGCCAGGTGCAGTGACTCGCTCCTATAATCCCAACACTTTGGGAAGCCAAGGTGCGCAGATCACCTGAGGTCAGGAGTTTGAGACCAGCCTGGCCATCATGGTGAAACCCTGTCTCTACTTAAAAAAAAAAAAACAAAAAAAAACCAAAATGCAAAATTAGCCTGGTATGGTGGTGCACACCTGTAATTTCAGCTACTCGGGAGGCTGAGGCAGGAGAATCACTTGAAATCGGGACGAGAAGGTTGCAGTGAGCTGAGATCACACCATTGCACTCCAGTCTGGGCAAAAAGAGTAAAACTTTGTTTCCAAAAAAAAAAAGAGAGAGAGAACATAATTATAAATTCAGGGAAAATTAAAACATAATAAATAATAAAAGAGGTTTATGGACAATTTTAGGTCAGTATATTTGAAAATTTAAATGAAAAGAAATTCATCTTAAATAGAATTAACAATATTGTCTCAAGAATAAACAGAAAGTCTGAACTGTCTTAGTAAAGAAACTGAATCAGTTTAAAAAAAACTTTCCACAAAGAAAATACTAGACTAAAAATTTTTCCAGTCAAATTCTACCAACTTTTCAAGAAATAGCTTATTCTAATTTATAGGATATTGTGTGAAAATAGAAGATGCAATACTCCTGGACTCATTTTAAAAGGCTGGTATAATCTTGATTCTAAAATTAAGTAAGAACGATATGAGAAAGAACTACTGTAGATCAATATTTTTCATTACTGTAGAAATAAAAATGAAAAAAATTAAATTCCAAAATGCATTTACAGCTGGGCAAAGTGGCTCGTGCCTGTAATCCCAGCACTTTGAGAGGCCAAGGCAGGCAGATCACTTGAGCTCACTAGTTGGAGACCAGCCTGGGCAACATGGTGAAACCCCATCTCTACAAGAAATACATAACATCTGTGTGTGGTGGCGCATGCCTGTAGTTTCAGTTACTCCGGAGGCTGAAGTAGGAGGATCACCTGAGCCAGGAAGCAGAGGTTGCAGTGAGCAGAGATTGTGCGACTGCACTCCAGCCTAGGCAACAGTGAGACCCTGTCTCAAAAAAAAAAAAGAAAAAGAAAAGGAAAAAGTACATTTACTATATAATCAACAAGTTTGTTTCATCCCAACAATAGATCAATAATGGGAAGTCAAATAATTTATTTCACCATATTAACAGATTAGAGGAAAATAAATGATCATCTGTACAAATGTAGAAAAATCATTAAAAATCAAAAATATTTATAATTTAAGAAGAAAACCAAAAAATAGAACTATAAGGAACTTCCTTATTCTGATAAATGACATCTATAAAAAACAGCACATCTACCATATTTCAAAATTAATAACCAAAATCATTTCCTTTTTTTTTTTTTTTTTGAGACGGAGTCCCTCTCTTTAGCCCAGGCCGGATTGCAGTGGCACAATCTTGGCTCACTGCAAGCTCCGCCTCCCAGGTTCACGCCATTCTCCTGCCTCAGCCTCCCGAGTAGCTGGGACTACAGGCGCCCGCCACTGCGCCCGGCTAATTTTTTGTATTTTTAGTAGAGACGGGGTTTCACCGTGTTAGCCAAGATGGTCTCGATCTCCTGACCTTGTGATCCGCCCGCCTCGGCCTCCCAAAGTGCTGGGATTACAGGCGTGAGCCACCGCGCCCAGCCAAATCATTTCCTTTTAAATTAGAGCTCTTACCATTACAAATTTCATTTAATATGTATTTAAAAAGCTAACTAGTGCAACTATTTTAAAAAGACATAAGGATTGGAAACAAAGAAAGATCTATAATTATTTGCAGATGACATTTTTACCTATATAGAAATCCTTCACAATATTTAAAAGATAATTATTAGATTAAATAATATAATATGTAAAGTTTGCTGAATATAAGATCAGATACAAAATGCAGTGGCATTTTATTAAAAAATAATCATAAGGTGAAATTTACTAGGAATATATCTACCCAAATATATATAAGGTTTTAGGAAGAAAATCATAAAGTTTACTAAAATGAGAAAAGACCTAAGAAAGGAAAAATGGATCATTCATGATTAGTAAGAAAACATTCAATGACATTTTAACAAAAAAGCAAATAGAATTTTTCATGTTACATGACAAGCTGTTTCTAAAATTTATGCCAACAAACGAAGGGCCAAGAATAACTAAGACCCTCAAAAGTAAAACCAGAAGAGGAGACATACTCCACAGTATGTAGAGATTTTCAAAATTTATTAAGAATCTTTAATAGCTAAGATGCATTGTCATTGGCACAGAAAAATACAATGAAACAAAAAAACAGAGGGGGGAAACTGGAGACAGATATGTGCACATATAAATTGTTAAATGATGCAGATGACATTGAAAGTCAGTGGGGAAAGGATGGCATACACAAAATATGGTGTAAGTTGAAGATGTATATCCCTGATAACCTTTCCATTCCTAAATATTCTAGAAAAACTCTTACACATGTACATCAGGAAGTATGTGCAAGGATATCCATAGAACCATTGTTCCTAATGAGAAATCAATCAATAAACAGATAAACAGAACCAAAATGCTATACTCTATAAACAGATTGTAGCATATTCTTACAATGGAATAATATATACCAGTTAAATGAATAAATTATAGCTGTAAACACCAACAATGAAAAACTTCACAATATGTTTCATAGAAACAAGTTCAATATCAGGCAAAATAAAAAAATATTGTTTAATAATGCACATACATATGGAAAAACATTTAAGAAAAGTAAAACAATGTCCAACATAAAACTCAGAATAGCAGTTGCCTCTGTGGTGGAAAAATGATGATATAAACAAAAGGGACACACAGAGCCTTCAGATATTTTGGAAATATTCTATTCCTCAAGCTAGCTGGTGGGTACCTGAGTGTATACGTTAATTCATTTTTGTTATTTAAAATGTATATATAGTACAAATAAAATATAATTTTTACAGTATTTTATTTATTATTTTATAATAAAAAGGTAACAAAAATAAATGTGTCACTGGCTGAGACATGGAGAGTAGAGAGTACAAGTGCAAACAGAGCTGCCAGTCTAAAGGCCATACGGTTGTATAGGCAGAAGATGGTGATGGCTGAAGAAGGCATGGTAGAGGGGACAGTGGTAGCAAGGATCAATATAGGGAAATATATGAGTGCTGTTTTAACAGGAGTTGCTGATGTAAAACGGAATATTTTAAAAGAGCGTCAAGATGGCATCAAGGTTTTCGGTTTTAGTAACTGAATGCATGGTTGTTTTACTGAAAGGGGAAGCACCAGATAATGGTTTAAGTGTTTAAAACTGGAATGATGGATGGCAGTAGAAGAAAACTAAAATATAAGAAATGTACAGGAAAAATCGTTGTTCATGTGGTGGACAAAAGAGTAATGTAGAAAATACATAAAGACTTTTAAGAATCCTAAATAAAAAGAAAAAAGATGCAAAAAGAAAAAAATGGGAAAGAATATGAGCAGGCAAGCCACAGAATAAAAAATATACATGACAAATATATGAACAGACAGTCACTGTTAACAGGGAAATGTGAATTAAAAGAAGAATGAAATACTATTTTTCAAAATTGGTTTTAGGGAAAAACTATGTGATAAAATCCAGTGTTATCAAAAGAAGGGGAATGTTCACTGCCCCATATATTTTATACTGGTGTAAACTGATATAAAACTTCTTGTAAGGTAATTTGTGATGGCTTTTGATTTAATATTTTCACTTTTAGAAATTTCTTTTACAAATTTACCCACTAATGTACAAAAAGTACTTTAAAGAAGAATTGCATTTTCATTGCATTTACATTGCAGAATTATTTTAATAGTGAAAACCAGAAAATAAGCAAACTTTCCAACGATAGGGCAATGATTATTTATATTATTATTAGAGGGATCATCAGAAAAGTCTCCCTATATGGCCTGAAATTCCCTCCAACACCATATAATAATTTTTTCTTCTTATGGAAATAAAGAATTTTATATTATTCTGTTGTCATAGGCAAAAGTTGGCAAAGTCATTGTTCCTTACATTCTGCAATATTCTTATACATTTGTACTGAGGAGGGAGAAATACCATGAGCAAATCCATCTGGTGTGTGTTCTTAGAGACTTTGCTGGCTCATCCTGTTGAATATATATTTCCCTAATCTATTTATACAATGTCAATACAGTTGCTTAAGTTCTAATGAAATTCTTTGTTATAGTAGTCCCTCTTATCCACAGGGGATATGTTCCAAGACCTGGGTGGATTCCTGAAACCACAGATAGTACTTAACTCTATATTTTTTCCTATACATGCATACCTATGATAAAGTTTAATTTATAAACAAGGCACAGTAAGAGATTAACAACAATAACTAATAATAAGGTAAAACAATTATAACAATGTATGAAATAAAAGTTAAATGAATGTGGTCTCTCTTTCTCAAAATATCTTATTGTACAGTACTTATCTATTTTTGGATTGCAGTTGACCACGGGCAATTTAAACCACAGAAAGTGAAACTGCAAATAAGCGGAGACTCCTGTATCTGGCCCTGGAAAGTTTTCATGTTGCAGATACTCACTGCCTCTTCATATGCATTCTCTGGCTAGAGATGCTGCTCTCCCAGGGGCTGTCCATGGTCTACTTGGAGCCTATGATTTTTACTCTATACAGTATTTTAATATAGACTTCAGCTCTGTACATTTTCCACTCTAGCCATTCATGCCAGTTTCTTATATAGTGAGATATATAATCACTTCTCTTTACTTGTCTATATATTAAACCTACAAAATCATCTTGGATAATAAGCAGAATGGTGGACATGGGAGCTATTTTAGATAGGAACACCAAGCAAATCCCACCTCAGGTGACATCTGAGCAGAGACCTGAATAAAGTAAGATATTGGGATACATGCAGCTGAAGTAAAAGAGCATTACAAAAAGGGGAAACAGCAAATGCAAAGAATCTGAGATGAGAACTTTTAACATGGTGAGTTTAGGAAACACCAAAAAGGCCACTGCAGCGAGAACAGAGTAAGGAGGTAGAGAGTGGTAGCAGGTAGAGTCAGAGACACACACATGGGCAGATCATGTAGGACTTTGTAGGCCATTGTGAGGACCTTAGATTTTTTCTGATTATAACATAAAGCAATTGGAGGGTTTTGGTAAAGGAAATAAAAGTATTTGATTTACATGCTTAAAGGTTCATTCCAGCTCAGCTGTTAAATGGAGAGTTGATTTTAGGGAAGTAAGAGGACAAGCAGTTAGGTAACCATCACCCTAGCCCAGGATAGAGATGATGATGGCTTAGACTAAACTGTTGAATAGCAGGGGTGAGAAGCTGTTGGATTTAGGATATACAATATTTTGAAGGTAGAGCCAATAGGTTTTGCTAACAGATTGGTGTGGAGCCATGAAACCAAGGATGTACCAAGCCCTACGTACAAAGGAGCTGAATCCCTGGGAGGATTGCACCTCTGGTGGGGACTGAGGTAAACTGAGATGCCAAGTATAATAGAATGATTTCTAAGGATCTTCTAAAAGCAGGTGGATAACCAATTCCAATTACAGCCTCTTCTTTGAGGGATTTATTTGCTTAAGCAATTATGTGAAAATAATTCAGAAAATGTTCAACAAGAGCAGAGACGAGCACGGAGACCTGGTTTTAGCCAGAGTGCACAAGGCTCCAGGACCTGTGATAACTCCACTGTGGATTATTTTGAGGCCAAAGGGAGGGGAGTAGGAAAGAGGCTTAGAGAGTTCCTTGGGCCACCCTTATATCCAAATGTATTCAACCATTTCTTTCCCAACATAACATTGATTCAATTGTCTACCAACTTATAAAATTTTGTTTTTCAAATGAGTTTTGATATTCTAACAAAGAACATATTTCAGATGTCTCCATTAAAATAAAAATTATGTTGCCTTTTTCTTATCTGTAGCACATAGTAGGCCAACCTTTAGAGAAAATAATAGTAACCCTGCAATCTGACAAATAGGTGTTCCATCTGGTTTTCCTTACCCTAGTGAAAGTGTAAAGGGAAGCAGAATAAACTACTCTTTCTTTCCTGTGGAGTGACACCTACCTATCCTATGATGAATGTGTGTTGTTTCACTAGCCAATACCCTATTATTTGCAGAAGATCCCTACCCATATTCAATATGATTTCTATGATTTCTATGGGACTGCCTGTAACATACTTCTTTTCCTCAATGGTAGTGAATATGCCCCATGACATGTGTCTGGCCAACTACGGTGTACATAGTAATATAAAGGCCACATGGAGTAGCCTGGCTGCCCAAAATGATTGGTCTAAAAGGTGACATGTGTCTCAAGTTGCACTATTCAGAGTCCTCTATAAGGGTATATTTATCAATGTGGAAAGAAAAAAATAAGATTTTACTTTTCATTGAAAATTAAAAGCTGTAAATTTAATGTGAGCCAGAATCTCCTGGTGGTCATCATTTCTATGACATAGAAAGAGTCTGAAAATAAAAAAGACACAGATAAATGTACAGCCATGAGATAAAGCAGAATATAGCTCTGACCACAGTTTTCAATCCATATGTGCCTCAAAAATTTCTCTTATGGGATGCCTCCATTGTTGTATTAGGTATTTATTTCTTTATGACAAATTAGCCCAAACATTGCAGCTTGAAACAACAAACATGTATTAACTCTCATAGTTTTTGAGAGTCAGGAATACAAGAATAGATCTGATGGGCAGCTCTGACTTAATGTTTCTCATGAGACTGAAGAAAAGATGTCAGCTGGGGAGTCCATCATCTGAAGGCTTAACTGGGGATGAAGGATACTTTCCATGGTGGCTCACTCACATGGCTATTGGCCAGAGGCCTCAGTTTCCCAGTGACTTTTACCAAGAATGCGCAGTTCCTCATCATGTGGATTTCTCTGTAGAGCTGCTTGAGTGTCCTCAAGACACAGCAGGGAGCTCACTCAGCCTAGACTGAACAATTCAAGAAAAAGCAAGGAGAAAGCTACAATGTCCTTCATAACTTAGCCTCAGAAGTCACATACCATCACTTCTGCTGTAATCTATTGGTCACACAGATCAATCCTGACACAATTTGGGAGGGGAGTATGCAAAGCTTTAAATGCTAGGGCCAGGGGGGCATTGGGATAATCATTTGAAGTTGACTGCTGAAGTTGTATAAACATGTATACAATCCTTTTTATTTTATCTCGTAAACTACTATGTTTTGCATTCTGTAACTGGCAGCCAAAATCAAGTTTAACCTAAAATAGCACCACCATCGAAGTCCTTTACATAAAAATAAAAGAAAACAAAAAACCTGCTCTATTCTTAAACATCTTTAAAATGGAGGCCATAGGAATTACCCTGTAATGAAATCCCAAATATATTAATAGTATTATTAAATGTGGCATTTGACAAGTTAGAGACTTTCTAAGCTGCACCTCCATCTAAGAAACATGTGAGCCATACTTTCTACCACTGTGAGGAGCAAGTGAACACCAACAATGTTATTATTTTTAAAATGAGTATAATACTTAAAAATTCATACATCTTTCATATAATTTTTTCTATTTCATTATTATAATAATACTGTGAAGTAGGTAGATTAGGTACAGCTTTCAGCATTTTTCAGATAAGGAAATAAAAGAAAGAGCTTATTATTAATCCAAGGTCAACATAACCTAGTTGGTAGAGTGGCATAGCTGTAGGGCCAGGGCATTTCCATAACCACATGTCTTATCAATCTGGTTTGCACAATACTGTCCCTCTGCACATTGCTCAGGCCTATTGTCCCATCAAAGGCATTTTCGCCAATGATAAATGCCTCCTTCCTATTTCAGCCTTAGTTCTCTCCTGAGAATGTGAATGAGCCCCATTGCCTACTTGTGTATAAATTTAGCAAACTCACATGGATTGTACTTCAGTTTGAATATTTATTAATTGTAAGTTCTTCATTTATGAGAAGGTAATACATTAACTATATTTTCAAGTCTATACTTTCCAATACCACATTCTAAATTTCAAAGAGAGGGAAATTTGTCAGTATGTCAGAAAGAAGGCTAGAAGTATTTTTTTATTATCATAAGGTATTACATTTTAACAGATGTAATGCCATAAAAGGAAGATAACAGAAGTGGATGGAGAAAACAGACTAGTGTTTCTCCTGAAAATCATCAAAATGTTCCCTTGTTCGTTTTCTTACAGTGAAATGTGAATGACTGCAGAAGTAAAGCCTATATGGTATAGATTCATGGAGTGTGGTTTGATAGCCTTTGATTCCCTAACATAAGCTTTAACTTTTGCTTTTAAAGTATAAGTAGTATAAAAGTGTTAATTAAAATTACTCAACGTGCAATGTAAGAAATTTTCATTTTAAGCTTTGTTGTATTTATTTCTGACATACACAATGCACTAAATCAATCAATGAGGAAAAACAACAAATTCCCAATAAGGCCTTAAGATATGAGCCATGCTAACTCTCTGTGAAGTTAATTAATTTTTGGCTACAATCTCAGCCCCTCTACAGCCACTCTTCTAATCTCCCATATAAATTTACTTCGCTTTCTTCCCGAGACAGCACTGCATTTCCCTGAACCATAATAAGCTCTTACACATTTTATAAAGTATTATCCTAGGGGAATTAGCTCCCTTTTCAGAAAATCATTGAAAATAGTGAAGGAAAAGGCTGTTGATTGTCCTTCTCTTTTGGTGGCAATAGCAATTTTTTCTCCGTTAAATAGGAGTGATACAAAGAACAAAATTCAGATACTCCCAGCCAGGCATATCGACCGGCAGGAAATTATATAGTAAATTGTATGGTAATCTCTAAGCTTTGTGTGTTTATATATGAAAAGGACATCAGCCTAAGTGAGTTGTAATGGTTTATCACCAAGGCATTTTATTTATTTTAAAACATGATGTGATGAAACTAAAAAAGCAGAACATTTAGATAAGTATGAAATTTTACTCTCTTAAAAGTTATTATCAACTGACTGTCCAAACTCATTCCTGACTAGTAATCTTTCCTTTAAACTCAATCTTCTTTTACATCATTGCTCACAGTAACATACAGAGAGGTGAGATAAAGTGTTTGTCTGGAATGAAAAAGGCTCAGGACAGAAGGGAATCAGGGAAGGTGTGATGTTAGAGAGGGCAGTTAAATTGAAATTTTTTTAAATGTTCAAAAGTCAATCGCTTTGTGTTTGGAGATATGAAATAAATGAAAATGAAAATATTTCCTATATAGAAAACTGGACATCAAAATTACCTCATCAAAATCCCATGCATCTATCAACAGTTGAATTTGTAAATAAATGGTTGCAAATGGTTGTAAATAAAATCTGATACCGCAGAGAAAATAGATGAATTACAGCTAGATACAACAACATGAATGGATCTTAAGAAAATAATTTTGAGTGGCAAAAAATTGTAGAAGAATACTTACAATATAATTCAAATTCAATCACATACATTTCAATAATTTGTTAATCTAATGATATATTATTCGGAATACAAACATAAAATTAAGCTGTATAGAAAAGCAAAAGAATAATAAATCCAGAACTCATTATGATGGTTACAGCTGAGGGTGAATGAAGTAGGACAGGGACTCAGAGAGGAGCACAGGTGATTGCATGAGGGTAAATTTTTTTCTAAGTTGTGTGGTCTATTTATGTTACTGTACATTATTTTTTAAATTTTGCATGCATTTTGTAAATATCCTCTGGATTTCATCTATATTTTTTTAAAAAGGCCGGGTGCAGTGGCTCACACCTGTAATCCCAGGACTTTGGGAAGCCGAGGCGGGTGGACCACATGAGGTCAAGAGTTCATGACCAGACTGGCCAACATGGTGAAACCCCGTCTCTACTAAAAATATAAAAAATTTGTATTGGTGGCGGGCACCTGTGGTCCCAGCTACTTGGGAGGCTGAGGCAGGAGAATGGCGTGAAGCCGGGAGGCGGAGCTTGCAGTGAGCTAAGATCGCGCCACTGCACTTCAGCCTGGGTGACAGAGGAGACTCTGTCTCAAAAAAAAAAAAAAATCAAAAGTGCCATGTAACTTGATACTCTTTAATACTTGAATAAACATGTTCCAAAGAATGCATAAGTTCTGAAACTAAAACCAAGACTGATAAGACAGGCTTTGAACCTCACACTTTTGGATCTGGACATCAAGTGGGGAAATCTAAGACATACTTCTGATTTTTCTGAAATAGTGCCCAGCACAAGAAGAGAACCCGGAAATGGGATTTCTGCTGAATCCTGAGAAATCCAGAAGTCAGGAATTCCCAGGGAGAAAGCAAAATCTTAGTTTAGGCAGTTATTTTTAATAGTTTGTATCTAATAGAGACTTAATTTTTTTAATAAACGTTTTCTAGAAATCCTTATTTTCTAGCACGATAGAAGTGGATAATCTCTTACCTTAATCTATATAAAGTCAGGTGTGTACTAGAAAATCTGTAGTCTCATGCACTAATGACAGATTTAACAGAAACAAGTATTATATGACGACTACAACAACTGAGGACATAGCACTGACAAATGATAATGCATATGCTCCTATTTTAAAAATCAATCTCTAGATAAAGTTCTTTTTTTTGTTTTAGCTGAACATTCTAATTTGCTTCTGATGGAAGGTGATTTAAATGATGTCTAAATTCCAGGTTACTTCTTGTGAGACTAGTATCAAATTACCCTCCCCAGTATTCAACAATATTTCAGACAAATTTAATGTTTCAGCTATCGGGAGAGAAAAACTCCTCAGTAACGTAATTCACACTGAATGTTTTTATTGTATACTGTTTATCCTAGATTAGAATTTTCATGAATTCCCAGAGCAATTTCAAAAGAATTAAAAAGGGAAGATAGCACATATACACCATGGAATACTATGCAGCCATAAAAGAGGATGAGTTCATGCCCTTTGTAGGGACATGGATGAAGCTGGAAACCATCATTCTCAGCAAACTATCACAAGGACAAAAAACCAAACACCGCATGTTCTCACTCATAGGTGGAAATTGAACAATGAGAACTCTTGGACACAAGAAGGGGAACATCACACACTGGGCCTGTCATGGGGTGGGGGAACATCACACACTGGGCCTGTCATGGGGTGGGGGGAGGGGGAAGGGATAGCATTGGGAGATATACCTAATGTAAATGATGAGTTAATGGGTGCAGCACACCAACATGGCACATGTATACACATGTAACAAACCTGCACGTTGTGCACATGTACCCTAGAACTTAAAGTATAATTAAAAAAAATGACTCTCAGGTAATTGCTATATGCAAACTTTCTGAAATAAATGGAAATCATACAAAAAAAGGGAAGATAAAATCTAGTTATATATTGGCTAATTTACTGTAATAGTTGTAGTTGATTAGAGGCAATAGAAATGAGGAAATAGTATCAATTTCTGAGTGATTGAGGAGATATTTTTGGAGATATAGAAGAGGTTTTAAAAATGCTCATGGAGGCCTGGCATCGTAGGTTATGCCTGTAATCTCAGCTCTTTGGAAGAATCGCTTGAGGCCAGGAGTTCAAGACCAGCCTGGGCAACATAGCAATATCCTGTCCTACAAAATAAAATTAAAATAATTAGCCAGGTATGGTGATGTGCACCTGTAGTCCTAGATACTCAGGAGGATCATTTGAGCCCAAGAGTTGGAAACTGCAAGGAGTTATGATCACGCCACTGCACTCCAGCCTGGGCCACAGAACAAGACCCTGTCTCATAAAAAAAATCATGGAAAGTGTATATTATTAAATAATCCATGAATTTTAAAAATGTTTTCTGCCAAAATAAAAGCTTCCTAACTTCTTATAACATGTCTGGACAGGATCTAGTTTGAGGCACTACGAAGGATAAGACATCAGTTTGAAAAGAGTCCCTATCAGAGCAACATAAATTCTGCTAACATTGAAGCAAAACATCAAATTTATGGTGAAGCTTAGGTGAGGAATAGTGAGATCACTGATGCTTTATGAAAAGTTTATGGGAAAAATGCCCCATAAGAAATCAGCAGTTTACAAAGAGATAACTCACTTTAAGAAGGGACAAGAGTATATTGAAGATGAAGCCTGCAGTGGCAGGTTATCCACATCAATTTGTGAGGAAAAAATTAATCTTGCCCATGCCCTAATTTAGGAGGACCAATGATTAACTGCAGAAACAATAGCCAACACTATAGACATCTCAGTTGGTTCAACTTACACAATTCTGACTGAAAAGTTAAGGTTGAGCAAACTTTCCACTTGATGGGTGCCAAAACTATTGTGCCTAGATCAGATGCAGAAAAGAGCAGAGCTTTCAGTGGAAATTTTATACAATTGGGATCAAGATCTTGAAGCATTTCTTCAAGTAATTGTAACAAGAGATAAAACATGGCTTTACTAGTATGATCCTGAAAACAAAACACAATCAAAGCAATGTCTATCAAGAGACGAAAGTGGTCCAGTCAAAGAAAAAGCAGACCAGTCAAGAGCAAAGAATATGGCAACAGTTTTTTGGGGTGCTCAAGGTAAGGTATTTTGCTTGTTGTCTTTCTGGGGAGCCAAAGAACAGTGACATCTTCTTATTATGAGAGAATTTTGTTTGTCTGTTTGTTTCTAAGAAAGCCAAAGCTGTAGCATAAAAATACCCCAGAAAGCTTTAACAGGGAGTCTTTCTCCACCATGATGCTCCTGGTCATTTCTTTCATTAAACAAGGGTAATTCTGTTAGTTTCAATGGAAACTTATTAGGCATCCACTTTTGGTCCTGAATTGGCTCCTTCTGACTCCTTTTTGTTTCCTAATTGTATTAGTCCATTTTCACAATGCTATGAAGAAATACCTGAGATTGGGTAATTTATAAAGAAAATCGGTTTAATTGACTCACAGTTCTTCATGGCTGGGAAGGCCTCAGGAAACAATCGTGGCGGAAGATGAAGGGGAAGAAAGGCAGCTTCTTCACAGGGCAGCAGGAAGGTGAAGTGCCAGCAGGGGAAATGCCAAACACTTATAAAAGCATCAGATCTCGTGAGTACTCACTCACTATCATGAGAGCAGCATGGGGGAAACCACCCCCATGCTTCAATCACTTTTCACTGGGTTTCTCCCAAGCCATGTGGGGATTATGGGAACTACAATTCAAGATGAGATTTGGGCGGGACACAGCAAAGCCTATCACTATTCTTAAAAAAAACAAAAATCTGTAAAGGGCACCTATTTTTCTTCAGTTAATAATGTTAAAAATTAAAAACACTGCATCAACACGGTGAAATTCACAAGACCTTCAGTTCTTTAGGAATAGACTAAATAACTGGTGTCACTGCTTACAAAAGTGTCTTAAACTTGATGGAACTTATGTTGAGAAATAAAGCTTATATTTTTTACTTATATCTTTTAATTCCATTTCTCTATGAATTATCTGGAGTTCCTATGTGTGTGTGTGTGTGTGTGTATCTATGTATATATACACATATATGTGCATATAAAAACCAAAGAAAGAGAAAATCACAGAATCTTAAGGAAGGGTAGTGAGTTGAGTTTAAAAGTTCAAAATACTACTTCACTATTGTAAGGCATACAATATTCTGATTACAATGCATGAGTGCAAAGGTGATTAGAATTGAAGAGCCTATATTATCTATCATATTGGTGCATACATATATACACACACATATATATGTAACACTCTCACATACTGCAATAATTAATGAAAAGTCTCTGCCTGCACAAAGCCAACACAATATCAATCACTGTTGACTTTTTTAACTTATTCACATGTCCACATGGACACCAGTCATTGTTGCTGGTCTGTAGGGTGCCACCCTCATTCTTCATGGCATTCGAGGATCCTTTTAATTCATGGACCAAATCCTATGTATCAAATACAAAAACTGTATCATTATGAGGTGTATACTTCCCATAAGAAGAGTAACCAATTGGAAGAAGCAACAAAAAGATGTCCCATTTCTACCAAAATGTCCTGTTACATACTTTATTTTAAAGGAGACCCTCAGAAGTCTGGGAGCAGAGACTCCTGATCTAAAATCCTAAAATGTTCCCTAGGAGCAACCCAAATCCTAGGTGAATGGTATGGTCAACCCAGATATTTGAAACTGGTCAAAGTTTAAGATTCTGAACCTGAATTAAATATATAGCAGGATCCTAATCCTACCAGTGTCCATAGCTCCTAGATTTTTGGTTGTTCTTTAAACACTGGAATCCTCAAAGATAATGAAAAAGCTCTAGAATAAGACAGGCCAATGAGGTCTGGATTGAGACCAGTTTGGAGGCCATCCAGGTATATCTGTTTTCAGAGCTGATCCATTAAAGAGTTGATCCTAAAAATACGAGAATTGTTACAACTAAGAATACAAGTGAGGCCCAGCCAGGTTTTATTGCAAACATAGTATCAGTCCTTTCTTTGTATTGCTTTCATCATCTGCATAAAAGATCTGGAAACACCTTTCTCTCAACAAAACACATGTAGTATATTTTTTAAAATCTTTGCAAACAATGTGTGGTTTCTTGCTCAACAAAACATTAATTATGCCCGCATTTTGAGCAACCCCTTTTTGTTAACATGACTTTCGACATAAGATGATGTGTCTGTATATTCATTTTACTAAATGCCAAGGCAGAGATTTCCAGAATTTCATGTAATTTTAGACAAAAAAATACAACAATTATTCATTAAAAAACATGAAACACAGAGCAGAAATGAAAAAATGAATTCATTTGTTTAATTCCTGCCCTACTCAGTCAGCAAGTGTGGTCCTATAGTCTGTCTGAAAGACTATTTTAAGCAGAGAAACATGAGAGCTAAAATACCTATAAAAATCTGTTTAGACAGAATAGAAGTCACTCCAAAAACTTTCTTCCAACAATATAGCCTCTCTAATGCCACTGCTATACTATAAGTTTAACAATTGTGCCAATTGACAGTTGAATGTTTAAGGTATAATGATGTTGTCCTCAAAAGCATTGTACTTGACTATCCTCATATTTTATTTCTCATAAAATTAAAATGCTTTTTTCAGCTACAGCTAGCAGGAGGTAATCAAAATGTACATAAAGACAAAGTAGAAAGTTCTTGGTAAGCACAGGTGTTCAAGTAGTGTGTGTGATGTGCGTGTACTTGTAAGAAAGAATGAGTGCATGCATCACTGAACTGGGGTTGTGAATGTGTGGGTACTACTAGGATATATAGGCACACCTCTGGCAGCTGCCTACTCTCAGCACCTCTTCTGGGTACAATTAGAACAAAATCAGAAAATGATGGGCTCAATCATCTGTCTCTACCCATAGCCCCCATGCTCAAATGTATCTTTATAAAAAGAAAAAGTAAGATAGCTTTGATGTAGATCAAATACCTTTGAAAATAGTCATCATAAAGGAAGGGTTTGAAAATAGTCATCATAAAGGAAGGGTTTGAAAATACAGTGGAAAGGGATAAAATTGCTGGTTGCATTACAAGAACCCTTGTTCCAAAAGTGTCTGTATCGCAATATCTATGAAAAGGATTTAGAAAAAAGATTCCATGCAGTTAGCATATAGTAATTCAAAAACAACTGTCAAGTGATTCTGATGTATAGAGCGCATTAATCTACAGGAGAAAATGTATTTTGTTTCATCCTTTAAAATAATTTAAATATTTGGCTTATCTCACCACAAAGAATAGTTACTGAGAATGCATAACTTACTGTTTAATAGGCACAAAATTTTACAATAAGTCCCAGCCATCTGCTCCCTCCTCTAATTATGAATTCAAGGACATAATTCACTACACATGGTACAAAAGACTGATAAAAAAGATTTAAATGCTATGTATAGATTCTTTCTATGATATTTTTGTTCAAGATGAGTTCTCAGACTTAAGAGAAATTATTAACTCACCTTTGAAAATTAGCAAATAAATGCCTCTAAAAGAAAATTGATATTGATGAGAAAAGAAGCTTGTGATTAGATCCATGTTTTCAGTCTCCAACTGGCAAAACATTTTTTGATATCAAAATGTGTGACTATAAGCTTGATTTAAATGTTGTTTTCAGTTGGGATTTCTCTTTTTCTTTTTCTTTCTTTTTTTTTAATTTTTTTAAAAGAGAGAGGAAGCCAGAAACTCTTTTCCATTTGTTTTGCTCTATTTCCCTTTGGGAAATTGACAAGAAGTAGTACAAAGCTAATGACAGGGAAAAATGGAAATTAACAACACAAGAATATTTTTGAGCTCTTATTTTGACTAAGATAAATATTTACTGCTTTGTCTTACCTTTCATTTGTCATGGAGACAATGTAGCTTATCTTATAAACTCTCACATGAAAGATTCATGGTTTTTAATATAGTGAAATAACAATCCACACACCCACACACACTCACACACATACACACATATATATCTTCAAGATCCTCTTCTGCTTGTAGAGGGAATGGCTGATAAATGGAAGTAAAGCCTCGTAGAACAAACTGAAGAGAATGGCTTCTCTTTTTTATGGGCAAAATTAGAGATAGGTTTACTGAGCTAATTCTCAAAATAAGACAGCATTTATATACCTTTAGCACCATACTTCAGAGAATTTCACACTTCCGTTCTCGAAATTAAGAAAAGTACCACAGAACCTCATATGGTGCATTTTCTTTACATTTTCATCAACAAGTATCACACATATCAAAAAGAAGTGGGAGCAGGAAGGGAGGAACAACATAGTTTTTTAAAGGCAGGAACAACATAGTTTTTTAAAGGCCACGAAAAGAAATTGAAACTGTCTTTTCTGTTTCTCTACATGTCTTATCACAGAAAAGAAGAAGGTTAACAGAGTTTCTTTTGCTATTGTCACACTGTGAGTCAAATTTTCATCCGATATAGCCTCCAATCGAGACCTCTAACCTTGGAATGCACCGTTAACTTCTGAGTGCCCTGTACACTCATCCAGGAAGGGATTCCTGGGTAGTTTTCATTTACTATCTTTCTTACAGGTAAGTACAAATTTCCCTGGCTCCTTGAGAGACAAGTAAACAGATAGAACACATCCAATGGAAAATAAGCTGGGAAGGACACAAAGATAAGGGAAGGTGTCCTCCATTTTGTTTTTACTGTGAGACAATAAGGAGTCCAGTTTCTTCAAAATGTTCTCTGTTTATCATGATGCAGTAAAAGAAACATCATTTAAACACTAAGGAAATTTGAGCCACATAAGTCGAGAATTTTTCTAATGTAAAAATACTCACTTGAGAGGGAGGAGGCACAGCAAGACGGAGGAATAGAATGCTTCACCCATCATCCCTTCAACAAGGACACCAATTAACAACTCTCTACACAGAAAAAACACCTTCATAAGAACCAGTTATCAGGTGAGGACTCGTAGTATCTGTCTTTAGCTTCATATCGCTGAAAAATGCACTGAAGAGACAGAAAAAAAACAGTCCTGAATTGTGGAGGATTCTCTCCCCTTCCCCACATGGCAGCGTGGTGTGGAAAGCATCTCTGGATGCTGGGGGAGAGAGAGAGACCACAGCAATTGTGAGACATTAAACTCAGCGCCGTCCTGTTAGAGCAGAAAGGAACACTGGACCAAATTTAGCTGACACCCCACTCCCCACCATGGAGGGAGCATGTAAACCAGCCCTAGCCAGAGGAGAATCACAAATCCCAGTGGTCTGAACATGGCTTTCTGTAAACCTCTCCAGGAAGAGCTACAGTACTCTGTGTCTCTTAAGCAAACGTGAGAAGCAGTCTAGGCCGTAAGTACTATTGTGTCCGGAATTGGTGGGTTCTTGGTCTCACTAACTTCAAGAATGAAGCCGCGGACCCTCGCGGTGAGTGTTATAGCTCTTAAGGTGGCGTGTCTGGAGTTTGTTCCTTCTGATGTTCGGATGTGTTCGGAGTTTCTTCCTTCTGGTGGGTTCATGGTCTCGCTGGCTCAGGAGTGAAGCTGCAGACCTTCGCGGTGAGTATTACAGCTCTTAAAGCGGGGCGTCTGGAGTTGTTCGCTCCTCCTGGTGGGCTCATGGTCCTGCTGGCTTCAGGAGTGAAGCTGCAGACTTCTGCGGTGAGTGTTACAGCTCATAAAAGCAGGGTGGACCCAAATAGTGAGCAGCAGCAAGATTTATTACAAAGAGTGAAAGAACAAAGCTTCCAAGATGTGGAAGGCGACCCCAGCGAGTTGCCACTGCCGGCTGTGGCAGCCTGCTTTTTTTAATTCTCTTTTCTGGCCCCACCCACATTCTGCTGATTGGTAGAGCCCAGCGGCCTGTTTTGACAGGGCGCTGATTGGTGCATTTACAATCCCTGAGCTAGATACAAAGGTTCTCCTCCTCCCCATCAGATTAGTTAGATACAGAGTATCCACACAAAGGTTCTCCAAGGCCCCACCAGAGCAGCTAGATACAGAGTGTCGACTGGTGCACTCACAAACCTTGAGCTAAACACAGGGTGCTGATTGGTGTGTTTACAAACCTTGAGCTAGATACAGAGTGCCGATTGGTGTATTTACAATCCCTGAGCTAGACATAAAGGTTCTCCAAGGCCCCACCAGAGCAGCTAGATACAGAGTGTCGATTGGTGCACTCACAAACCCTGAGCTAGACACAGGGTGCTGATTGGTGTGTTTACAATCCCTGAGCTAGACATAAAGACTCTCCACATCCCCACCAGACTCAGGAGCCCAGCTGGCTTCACCCAGTGGATCCCACACAGGGGCCGCAGGTGGAGCTGCCTGCCAGTGCTGCACCATGGGCTCGCACTCCTCAGCCCTTGGGCGGTCGATGGGACTGGGCGCCCTGGAGCAGGGGGCGGCGCTTGTCGGGGAGGCTGCGGCCGCACAGAGCCCATGGAAGGGGTGGGAGGCTCAGGCATGGCGGGCTGCAGGTCCCGAGCCCTGCCCTGAGGGAAGGCAGCTAAGGCCCGGTGAGAAATCGAGCGCGGCGCCGGTGGGCTCGCGCTGCTGGGGGACCCAGTATACTCTCGGCAGCTGCTGGCCTGGGTGCTAAGTCCCTCATTGCCCGGGGCCAGCAGGGCCGGCCGGCTGCTCCGAGAGCGGGGCCCGCAAAGCCCACGCCCACCCAGAACTCCAGCTGGCCCGCAAGCGCAGCGTGCAGCCCCGGTTCCCGCTTGCGCCTCTCCCTCCACACCTCCCTGCAAGCTGAGGGAGCCTGCTCCGGCCTTGGCCAGCCCAGAAAGGAGCTCCCACAGTGCAGCGGTGGGCTGAAGGGCTCCTCAAGTGCCGCCAAAGTAGGAGCCCAGGCAGAGGAGGCGCCGAGAGCGCGCGAGGGCTGTGAGGACTGCCAGCACGCTGTCACCTCTCACTGTAACTCTTAGGCAAGTCCTAGTGCAGAAGTAGGCCCAGAGACAGTGCACTGTGGGGGGAAACATGATCTAGTGAGACACCAGCTAGGGCAGCTAAGGGAGTGCTGGCATCACCCCTCCCCAAACCCCAGGCTGCACATTTCATGGCTGCAGAAGTGACCGTTTCCTTCCACTTGAGGAGAGGAGAGGGAAGAACAGGGAGGACTTTGTCTTACATCTTGGGTACCAGCTAAGCCACAGCAGGATAAAGCACTGGTCAGAGTCGTGAGGACCCCATTCCAGGCCCTAGCTCCAAACGACATTTCTAGACACAACCTGGCCAGAAATGAACCCACTGCCTTGAAAAGGAAGACCCAGTCCTGGCAGCATTTATCACCTGCTAATGGAAGAGTCACTGGGCCCTGAATAACCAGCAGTAATACCCAGGTACTACGTCGAGGGCCTTGGGTGAGTTTCTGAGACTTTCTGGCTTCAGGTACCAGCATAATCACAGCAGCAAGTATGTTCTTGGGGTCCCTGATTTCATGACTTGACTCTTGGACAGCAATCTCTAGGCCTGCCCTGAGTCAGAGGGGAGCCCGCTGCCCTGAAGTGTGAGTCCTAGGCTAGGCAGCACTTGGGCCTTAAGGGACATGGTCTGTGGAGGCAGTGGTACCATGCAAAACTCCTTTGCTTTTGGAAAGAGGGGAGAAGAGCTGGAAAGACTGCATCTTGTGGTCTGAGTGTCCACACTACCCAAAGCAATCTACATTTCAATCCAATCCCTATCAAAATACCAATAACATTTTTCACAGAAATAGAAAAAAAATCCTAAAATTTATATGGGATCACAAAAGACCCAGAAGAGCTAAAGGTATCCTAAGGAAAAAAAAATAAAGTAATCACATTACCAGACTTCAAATTATACTGCTCAGCTATAGTAACCAAAATGACGTGTACTGACATAAACCAATGGAATAGAATAGAGAACCCAGAAATAAATCCAGACACCTATAGTGAACTCATTTTCGACAAAGGTGCCAAGAACATACACTGGGAAAAAAACAGCCTCTTCAATAAATAGTGCTGGGAAAGCTGGATATCTATATGCAGAATAATGAAACTAAACATATACAATCTCTCAACATATACAAAAAAACAAATCAAAATGGATTAAAGACTTAAATCTAGCACCTCAAGTTATGAAACTACTACCAGGAAACATCAGGGGAAATCTCTAGGACATAGGTCTGGGCAAAAATTTCTTGAGCAATACCCCACAAACAGATATTGCAATACCCCACAGCAATGCCCCACAACAGGCAACCAAAGCAAAAATGGACAAATAGAATCACATCAAGTTAAAAAGCTTCTGCACACCAAAGGAAACAATCAACAAAGTGAAGAGACAACCCACACAATGGCAGAAAATGTTTGCAAACTACCCATATGACAAGGGATTAAGAGCCAGAATACATAAGGAACTCAAAAAACTCTATAGGGAAAAAATATAATAATCTGATTAGAAAATGGGCAAAAAGATTTGAACAGGAATTTCTCAAAAGAAGACATATAAATGAAACAGGCTATAAAAAAGTGCTCAACATCATGGATCATCAGAGGAATGCAAATCAAAAGTACAATGAGATATCATCTCACCCCAGTTAAATGGCTTTTATCCAAAAGACAGACAGTAACAAATGCTGGTGAGAACGTGGAGAAAAGGGAATCCTTGTACACTGTTGGTGGGAATGTAAATTAGCACAGCCCCGTGAAGAGCAGTCTGGAGGCTCCTCAAAAAACTAAAAATTGAGCTACCATATGATCCAGCAGTCCCACTGCTGGGTATATACCCAAAATAAGGAAATCAGTTTATCAAAGAAATACCCACACATTCATGTTTGTTGCAGCACTGTTCACAGTAGCTAAGATTTGGAAGCAATCTAAATGTTCGTCAATAGATGAATGGATACAGAAAATGTAGTACATATACACAATGGAGTACTATTCAGCCATAAAAAGAACGAGGTCCTGTCATTTGCAAAAACATGGATGGAAATGGAAATCATTATGTTCAGTGAAATAAGCCAGGCACAGAAAGACAAATTTTGCTTGTTCTCACTTATTTGTGGGATCTAATAATCAAAACAATTGAACTCATGGAGATAGAGAGTAAAATGATGGTTACTAAAGGCTTGGACAGGTAGTAGGGGCTGTGGGGCACGGAGAGATAGTTAATGGGTTAGAAACAACAGAAGGAATGAATAAGACCTACTATTTGATAGCACAACAGAGTGAATACAGTCAACAATAACTTAATTGTACATTTTAAAATAACTAAAAGAATGTAACTGTATTGTTTGTAACTCAAAGAAAAAAGGTCTGAGGGGATACATACCCCATTCTCCATGATGTAGTTATTTCAAATTGCATGCCTGTATAAAACATCTCATGCACTATACACACACACACACACACACACACACACACACACACTATGTACCCACAAAAATTTAAAATAGTATTTAAGAAAAATATTCCCTGTAAGAAGAACGTGGCAAGAAAGGGACATTGGTACATGTGTGCACAAACACTTCTGGTAGAAGCACATATTGCTTTATTTTGTTTCGACAGCAACTTCACAGTGTGTTTCAAGAGCCTTTAATAAAGCTAATTCCCTTTGACTCAGTAATCCCACTTTGCAGACTCTGTCCTAAAGGAAAAAAAAATCTGATGCTCTACAAAGATACAAGCTGGAAGCAAATAAAAGGATTCAACAAAGTGGGTGACAGAGTGCCTCATGGCGCATCCTTACACGCAATATTATTTAGCCAGTAAAATGTTTTCCAAAAGTATTTAGGAACTTATTTTTTCATGAAAAATATTAAGCTAAAAAGATGGCCTATAAAACTATGTACACATATCTATACATATATTTTCATACATATTTTATTCATATGTTTATTCATGAATATGTTGTGTATATACATATATTATTTTTGAAAGAGATATGAGCCAGATGCAGTTGCTCATGCCTGTAATCTCAGTACTGTGGGAGGCTGAAGTGGGAGTCCAGGAGTTCAAGACCAGCCTAGTCAACATAGGGAGGCCCCCACTCTACAAAAAAATTAAAAAATTAGTTGGGTGTGGTGGCACATGCCTGTGGTCCTAGCTACTTAGGAGGCTGAGGTGGGAGGGTCACTTGAGCCCAGGAGGTTGAGGCTGCAGTGAGTTTTGATTGCACCGCTGCACTCCCGTCTGGGCGACAGAGTAAGAACTTGTCTAAAAACAAATAAATAAATAAAAGTAAAAGATATGTGAAACATTATATGAACATTATCTATATATGTATTTTAAAGTATATATTTATTACCACACACACACACATGCACATATGTATCCATATATATTTGAAATAGTTAGAAATACCCCCCAATATTATTAGTTTTTATTTCAGGATGTTGACATTAGAAACATAGGTGGATTTTATTTGCTTTCAATGCTTTTTTGTATTTTCTTATATTTTAATAATTTGGCGGCATGTTTTTTAGATCAGGAAAATAAAGGTTAAAAGGGCTGGGAGTGGTGGCTCATGCCTGTAATCTTAGCACTTTGGGAGGTCAAGGCTGGTGGATCACCTGAGTTCAGGAGTTCGAGACCAGCCTGGCTAACATGGTGAAACACTGACTCTACTAAAAATATAAAAATTAGCCAGGCATGGTGATGGGTGCCTGTAATCCCAGCTACTCCGGAGTCTAAGGCGGGAAAATTGCTTGAACCTGGAAGGTGGAGGTTGCGGTGAGCCGAGATCATGCCATTGCACTCCAGCCTGGACAGCAAGAGTGAAACCCTGTCTCAAAAAAAAAGAAAAAAGTTTCTGACTTATTCAACTAGAGTGCAGATCACAGTAGCTCCATAACTCAGAACAATCCAGTAGTTTCTCCACTTGGGAAGGACTAGCACCTAGAACTCTACGTGCCTGCCAGAGGAGGCAGGCACTAGGGATCACAGATTTGCATATAAGTTTTAAAAAGAAAATCTAGTCTAGCAAACACAACACTAAACCAGGAGATTAATGCTAACCCAGAAGGCACCCCGACAGGGAGTCAGCATGGGGAAAATCTCACCCAATAGGTGCTCTAAAAGATAGGCAGAGCAAGACAGCTGAGGCTTTAAGAATAGGGTCTCTTCAGAGAACCAGGCAGATCAGATGCACCACAGTTGCTCAGAAGACCATCTGTAAACTGCCAGATTTCAGCCACTAGGACAAAACTTCATTCCCCAAGGATATGGGATAGTAGGAAGAGCAAGATGAGATAGACACTGGAAATAAATAAGACATTAAATTTCTGTCAGTGTGATTCAAAGTAGAGAATGAGTCTCAAGATTCAGGTAAAGTCAAATATGGTCCCAGAATTACATAGTGGAACTAGGATACAGGTCAGAGAAAATCACAAAGCAAGCATGGCATGAGTTGAAATGTAAGGCTAGTTGAGGGTCAGGTTTGGAAAAAGGAGATGGTACTTGCCTTTAGACATAGCGTATTTGAAGGAATAGAAAGAAAATCACGTGGAAATAGCTAATAGACGGTTGACTTAGAAATTAGGTTTATGTGAGAGGTCCAACTGCAAAAAAAAATGTAGTTATTTGCAAAGAGGTGATGTACTGGCTTGCTGTCTTCACCCTCTGCCCACTCTGTTCCTCAGGAGGCTGATCTCCACAGACTGCCTATCCAGCCTCACTCATCAGCTGGCTTCAGGTTGGGTTTGGCCCATAGGAGGCAGGGACAGGGAATTGGAGGGGTTGGTAGGAGGAGAAAGCAGTCAGGGTGTTTCTTCTCTGTTCCCTCCTGGCTTCAAGTCTGATTTCTGACGGTAACTGTGTCCCGCCACCATTACAGCTCCACCTTAACAGTCTCCTCCTGCCAGGTTTCAGGCCTCGCTGGGCTCTTGTAAGTTTGAGTCTCTGTTTTGCTTTAGCCCTCAAGGTGGAGATAATTTCCCAATATTATTCTTTTCTAAGCACCTCTCCATCCTTTTATTTTTTTTTCAGCCCTTCACTCGGCCCGCAACTGTGTAATCCTTTTATTTAAGTCTCTTCATTTGAATAATCTGGGGGTAGATTTAGTTTCCTGACAGTATCATGACTGAATTAGATGATGGGAAAAAATTACTTGGGGAAAATACAAAAAGGTTCCTATATAAAGAATATATTCCTCTTTGATCCAGAGCGTCAGGGATTAAATAGTGATGAATATAGAAAATTGGTAATTCAGGGACATGAACAAAGAGTAAACAGCTATCCTAGAGAAGAGGGTATGATAGTATAACATCAGAGAAGTGACAAAAAAGAGCTGTGATGAGGATTTTAGACAGTGGTGTGAAATGCTTCAGAGAAACCACAGAGAAGAATAGAAAAGGGGCATTCAATTATCCATTAGTCATTAGTGACTTTAAAAAGAAAAGAGAAAATTTTCAAATATAAACAATGGACTCTTTCCAACCTTTTCCAAGGTATGAAAAAGGAGTGAGTGAAGATGAAATTGGAGCAGAGGATAGATTCCCTATTTGTTTATGCTTTGGCAATAAGGAAATACAAAATAGATAACTAGAGTAAAAGTGAAACTTTGTTTTTTGTTTGTTTTGTTTTCAAAACAGGAAAGAATTAATAATGTTTGAAGATAGAAAGAAAGAAAATGAAGAGGAGATGGTGGGGAGTGGTGGTAACAGTGGAGATGGGATCCAGGCAAGGGATCCAAGGCTTTAACTTGAATGAGAAGAAAACACTGTCAAACGTCAGTATGTGACACTTCAATTAAAAAAAAAGTGCAGAATAAGGCTTTTTTCTAGACTAAATGAAAAAAAACATAATATTATAAAGAAATGTTTCACATTCTGTCTTAAAATGAGCTATTGTGGACACTTCTGATGGTAAGGACTTTATACTAGGACTAAGGCTCATGTAACTGGGCAGCTCAAGGCTGGGGCATCTTGTAGCAGCAGGCGTGCTTACATCAGTAGTACCTGGATATTTTCATCCTAAACTCAAACAGAAAAAAGGAAAATGTGAATACATACCCCAAGTGTATAATATTTAGAATTTATTTTATTAATATTTGTATAACATTCTGTGAGATGCTAATTTTAATGTCTGGTTTATAAATTATTTTCATATTTGTCTGAGTGGCCATAAATATCTAAAAAGGATGCCCTACAAAATTATATAGGTCCAAATAGAAAAAGTGAGTCATTGCAGCTCCTACTAAATCATGACACATTTTTTCAGTCCCATCTATCTGTCTAAATAATTATGAAGCTGCTAGTAAAATTTTACCTTTTCTGATGGCAATCAAATCTTACAAAATAAGTATATTTTTATATTTAAAACATAGATTTAAAACCTAATAAAGCTCTTCATTTGGGAGATTTTACAGACTAGAAAATTCTAATTTCAGATATGCAGACTAGATTTTATAGGTGAAATGCTTAGAATTGTTTTTGTCAACAAAACCACATTACTATGGGAATATTTCCAAGTATCTATTCTCAATATTCTCTTGTCATAACATAAGTTTCTTTGAATAAGTATTCATTTTCTCACTCTTTGTTAACATCTCAATTTTAACTTGAAGAAACAGGTTATGTCTTATTTTGAAATATATATATATTCCAGGTAGTACATCTCTTCATTCCTGGAAATGTCAGCAAATTTAGGAAACTTGTCTTTTTTAAAAGAAAAATTATATCTTTTTTTAAGTTGCCAACTCCTTTAAGGACTTGTTATAAGACAACCAGAAAATTGCAGTGCATAAAAAAGAGTTTTATGGTCACTTGTATTGTGTTAAAAATAACATACAAAGAGTTCTTCTATTGAATAGTCTTCTTTTTACAAAATTAGCTATATTCATAACATTTGAAAATGATGTGATTTCATTTTCAAATTTTTTCTACAAATAATACAATGAATACATTTCCATTGTGAAGATATCTCTATAATCATGACCAGGAACATTTTTATTAATGATTACAAACCAATCAGCAGCTTTATCAGTGGTTACACATATAGACTTAGTCAATAAAATACTTTTTGTTTAATGAAATCATTTGTATTGAGAATATATTCTTTATGGGACATCTTACTTTGGTTGCTTACAGCTACTTTTTAACCAGAGCAAGAACAAATGTTTCCCTAACAGTACATGGCATTTCATCTTTTACAATTAAGAAACCTCAAATTTATCATCTAAACAATTATTATATTTGATTAAGTTTTTACAAAGTAATGGATTATCATATAATTCTAAGTAGTATTGAAAGAATAGTCCTTTGCTTCCCAGTGCTTTCAATGTCTTGTTCTCATAATGGTTTTATACTGTGATTAGCTAACATCTCAGGGCTAAATAAACACTTAGGACAAGATTTGTCCTTAATGATGCTGGATGCAATTCAAATTTCAAAAAGCCTCACCCTCATAATTTTATATTTTTTTAACCAATATCTCAAATTTTATTAGGTTATTGATTTGAGTCCACCATGTGGCAGAAGAGCAAATGCTAGCTTCAAAAGTGTTAATTCTGCCATTTACTTGTTGATTATTTACGCTTGCATTATCAGTAATATCTTCAAGCTAGGATTTATTCGCAGAAATACTTTTTAAACAATTTGCTCACTTTGAGAGGTCTAGTTTCATCAAAACTGATTAATATAATCTGTAAATTTACCTAATTAGGCAGAAATAAATTTCAATAATCACAATATGTTGAAATCAAATGAATACACAAAGGGCTATGTAAACGTCTTTGTTTTAGGACAACTACGCCTCCCTTAGGATAACTCCCCATAGGCTACCATATGACATACGTGCCTGCTGAGGGTGCCAGTGTCAAGTGTTTAATTAAATATTAGCAAATCCTAATGGATTGCCTCAGTAATCCCACTTTTGGCACCACTGGTAAAATGACCTTTTGAATTCTATCTCATTATGGTGACTACATTTGTAAAGATGTTAAGATGGTTCACTTGCAGTAAAGATTCACAGAAACCTAGGGACTTTTGAAAACTTCTAATCACTAGTATTTTTGAATTAGTCACTAAACAAGCTGCAATAAGCCAAATTAAAATTATGTGTGTACATAAACATAAATCCAGTATTTTTAACAGATATGCAAATTATATTCTAATTTTTAATAAGATATTTTCCTGCAAGAGAGTCACGCCCAAACTTTGGGGAAATTATGTAAGACTCACATATTTTGGTAAGCAAATCATTTCCATAATTAATATCTTTTTTATTATACTCTATCTTCCATTTTCTTTATCATTAGGAAATACCTTTAATGATTGTATGAAATAGCTGACCATTTCTTTATTTAAAGTGACAGGCTGTAATTCAAATAAAAAAATACTCATTTACAACTAGAAGCCATTTTAAAGAGTAAATTGGGGCACGATAAAATTTTAAAGAGTTTATTTGAGCAAACAGCAATTTATGTTTTGGGCAGCTTCAAACCATTAGTGATTCAGGAGCTCCACTAAGGGAAAGCAAAGAGGGAGATTTATAGGAAAAACATGGAGGCAAAGCAAAGACAATATTTGATTGATTACAGTTTCACAGTTGCTTTATTTGGTCTATCCTGTTGGAAAGTCCCTAGTTATATAATTATATGTCAGTTGACTATTTCTGATTGGTTGAGCTTAAGCTCTGTTTTTCTTTGATACAGGCATTCACAAGAAATAGCTCAAATTAAGTTTTGCTTCTGTTTGTAAATCAAGCAAGGTTAAGGTCACTTATGAGGCCTGACTGGCCTTGTTTGCTCAGTGATTCTTCAGGCTTGTTCTCTTAATTTACTTTAATACATGTAACTGTGCTATGGTCTGAATGTTTGTGTCCCTCCAAAATTCATATGTCAAACCATTAAAAGGTGGGGCCTTTGGGAGGTGATTAGATCTTGAGGGCCCTGCCCTAATGAATGGGATTAGTGCCCTTATAAAAGGGCTTGGGGGAGCCTGTTTGCCCCTCTTCCACCTCTTCTGCCATATGAGGACATGACAAGAAGGCTCCATCTTTGAAGTAGAGAGCAAGCCCTTACCAGACACCAAATCTGCCAGTGGGTTGATGTCCAGAGCTGTTAACAATAAATTTCTATTGTTTATAAATTACTCATTTTTTTGCCATGTTACATTCCCACAAGCAATGAATGAGAATTCTTTTATTATTATTAAGTTTTGGGATACATGTGCAGAATGTGCAGGTTTGTTACATAGGTATACACATGCCATGGTGGTTTGCTGCACCCATCAACCCATCATCTAGATTAGGTATTTCTCCTAATGCTATTCCTCCCCTAGCCCCCTACCCCACAATAGGCCCTGGTGTGTGATGTTCCCCTCCCTGTGTCCACGTGTTCTCATTATCCAACTCCCACTTATGAGTGAGAACATGCAGTGTTTGGTTTTCTGTTCCTGTGTTAGTTTGTTGAGAATGATGGTTTCCAGCTTCATCCATGTCCCTCCAAAGGACATGAACTCACCCTTTTTTACTCATCCTGCATAGTATTCCATGGTGTATATGTGCCACATTTTCTTTATCCAGTCTATCATTGATGGGAATTTGGGTTGGTTCCAAGTTTTTGCTATTGTGAATAGTGCTGCAATAAACATATGTGTGCTGTGTCTTTATAGTAGAATGATTTATAATCCTTTGGGTATAAACTCAGTAATGGGATTGCCGGGTCAAATGGTATTTCTGGTTCTAGATCCTTGAGGAATCGCCACACTGTCTTCCACAATGGTTGAACTAATTTACACTCCTACCAACAGTGTAAAAGCATTTCTATTTCTCCACATCCTCTCCAGCATCTGTTGTTTTCTGACTTTAATGACCACCATTCTAACTGGTGTGAGATGGTATCTCATTGTGGTTTTGATTTGCATTTCTCTAATGACCAGTGATGATGAGCTTTCTTTCATATGTTTGTTGGCTGCATAAATGTCTTCTTTTGAGAAACATCTGTTCATATCCTTTGCCCACTTTTTGTTGGGGTTGTTTGTTTTTTTCTTGTAAATTTAAGTTCCTTATAGCTTCTGGATATTAGCCCTTTGTCAGATGGATAGATTGCAATAATTTTCTCCCATTCTCTAGGTTGCCTGTTCGCTCTGATGATAGTTTCTTTTGCTGTGCAGAAGCTCTTTAATTTAATTAGATCCCATTTGTCAGTTTTGGCTTTTGTTGAGATTACTTTTGGTGTTTTAGTCATGAAGTCTTTGCCCATGCCTATGCCCTGAATGGTATTGCCCAGATTTTCTTCTAGGGTTCTTATAGTTTTAGGTCTTATGTTTGAGTCTTTAATCCATCTCAAGTTAATTTTTGTATAAGGTGTAAAGAAGGGGTCCAGTTTCAGTTTTCTGCATATGGCTGGCCAGTTTTCCCAACATCATTTATTAAACAGAGAATCCTTTCCTTATTTCTTGTTTTTGTCAGGTTTGACAAAGATCCGATGGTTGTAGATGCAGTGTTATTTCTGAGGCCTCTGCTTTGTTCCATTGCTCTATATATCTGTTTCGATACCAGTACCATGCTGTTTTGATTACTGTAGCCTTGTAGTATAGTTTGAAGTCAGGTAGTGTGATGCCTCCTGCTTTGTTCTTTTTGCTTAGGATTGTCTTGGGTATAGGGGCTCTTTTTTGGTTCCATATGAAATTTAAAGTCTTTTTTTCTAATTTTGTGAAGAAACTCAATGGTAGCTTCATGGGGATAGCATCGAATCTATAAATTACTTTGAGCAGTATGGCCATTTATACAATATTGATTCTTCCTATCCATGAGCATAGAATGTTTTTCTATTTGTTTGTGTTCTCTTTTATTTCTTTGAGCAATGGTTTGTAGTTCTCCTTGAACAGGTCCTTCACATCCCTTGAAAGTTGTATTCCTAGGTATTTTATTATTTTTTTAGCAATTGTGAATGGTAATTCAGTCATGATTTGGCTCTCTGTTTGTCTATTATTGGTGTATAGGAGTGCTTATGTATCAATTGCACATTGATTTGTATCCTGAGACTTTGCTGAAGTTGCTTATCATCTTAAGGAGATTTTGGACTGAGACAATGGGCTTTTCTAAATATACAATCATGTCATCTGCAGATAGAGACAATTTGACTTCCTCTCTTCCTATTTGAATACCCTTTCTTTCTTTCTCTCGTCTGATTGCTCTGGCTAGAACTTCCAATACTGTGTTGAATACGAGTGGTAAGAGAGGGCATTCTTGTCTTATGCTGGTTTTCAAAGGGAATTCTTCCAGCTTTTGCCCATTCGTATGATATTGGCTGTGGGTTTGTCATAAATAGCTCTTATTATTTTGAGATACATTCCATCAATAACTAGTTTATTGAGAGTTTTTAGCATAAAGGGGTGTTGAATTTTGTCAAAGGCCTTTTCTGCATCTATTGAGATAATCATGTGGGTTTTGTAATTGGTTCTGTTTATGTGATGGATCACGTTTATTGATTTGTATATGTTGAACCAGCCTTGCATTCCAGGGATGAAGCTACCTTGATCGTGATGGATAAGCTTTTTGATGTGCTGCTGGATTCAGTTTGCCAGTATTTTATTGGGGATTTTCACGTTGATGTTCATCAGGGATATTGGCCTGAAATTTTCTTTTTTTTGTTTTGTCTCTGCCAGGTTTTGGTATCAGGATGATGCTGGCCTTATAAAATGAGTTAGGGAGGAATCCCTCTTATTCTGTTGTTTGGAATAGTTTCAGAAGGAATAGTACCAGCTCCTCTTTGTACCTCTGGTAGAATTTGGCTGTGAATCCATCTGGTCCTGGGCTTGGATTGGTTGGTAGCCTATTAATTACTGCCTCAATTTCAGAACTTGTTATTGATCTATTCAGGGATTTGACTTTTTCCTGGTTTAGTCTTGGGAGGGTGTATGTGTCCAGTAATTTATCTATTTCTTCTAGATTTTCTAGTTTATTTGCATAGAGGTATTTATGGTATTCTCTGATGGTAGTTTGTATTTCTGTGGGATCAGTGGTGATATCCCCTTTATAATTTTTTATTGTGTCTATTTGATTCTTCTCTCTTTTCTTCTTTATTAATCTGGCTAGTGGTTTATCTATTTTGTTAATCTTTTCCAAAAACAAGCTCCTGAATTCATTGATTTTCTGAAGGATTTTTTGTATCTCTACCTCCTTCAGTTCTGCTCTGATCTCAGTTATTTCTTGTCTTCTGCTAGCTTTTGAATTTGTTTGCTCTTGCTTCTCTAGTTTTTTAAATTGTGATGTTAGGGTGTCGATTTTAGATCTTTCCTGCTTTCTCCTGTGGGCATTTAGTGCTATAAATTTCCATCTAAACACTGCTTTAGCTGTGCTCCAGAGATATAAATTACTCACTTTAAGGAATTGGGTTATAGCAGCCCAAATGGACTAATAGAAATTGTGTTACGGTAGCTGCCAATGTGTACATTATTTTTTGTACACTTAAAAGGTTTTAAGTGCAACACTTTCTTCTACAGACCTATATTTCATTTGCTATTTCAGTTACAGTATGAAAATATTTCTGAAATGTATTAAAATTTGCATGCCTCTCCTAGCAAATTGATGTGTACAACTAGAAAATGCAAAATTGCAAAAAGCTCTTACATGATGCTACAGAGAAACTTATCGTGTCTAGAAAATCTGATTGTATAATTAGTTTAATTGTGCCTACAATAAAGCTTCAAGCTCAGTTAAAGTACAGGCTCCCAGATTTGCACAGGTGTTTCTGCTAACTTAAGTTCAGACAGCTAGGAATCTTTTTACTTTTAAATAGCGCTTACTGAAAACTAAAAGCCTAATGACTCATTCATTCAATCACACTATCATATTGATCACCTGTGTGAGAAGCATAACTAAAACAATTTACTTCACACATTTTAGTCTTTACATTTTATTCAAAGATATCCAGGCATCTCACAACATTACAGTTATATCCAATTAGAATAAATTCATAGAGATCAAGATATACGGCAGACTCACATCACCTGTTCTTGAGCCCCTATAGCCAAATAGCCTTTCAAAAGGCTGAATGAAGACAAGCTTAAGTTCAATCAAATATTGGAAAGCCCTAGGAAGTGGGCATCTTAGATGTTAGATAATTAGAAGTCAATGAGTGCCCTTTCTATGATCCTCTCTCAGTGCAAGACAAGAGGAGATTTCTGAACAACTTCTCCCTATGATCTCTGTAAAAGAAAAATTAAGTTACAGCATGACAGGCTGTCTGCCTTTGATAAAATATATCTAATAAAATATTAACTGTGACATAACTTAAAAATTTTGACAGCTAAAAGTCATATTATTTTCAGTAAATTATGCATTTCCATCTTTCAGTTGAAAAGTTTGTGAACAAAGAGCAATTTAAAAAATAATCTTTTCTTATTTTGATCAGGAACATCTAATGTATTATAAAAGCCTCTAAATAGTCATTAAGCTTTACTTAGAAAAGTACACATGCCATTTTCAGGTGAACTTTCACAGACACTTTTAGAAAGAATATTCATGTCATCCTACATGGACATACAAATTGGAAAAATAGACATTGGAGACTTCGAAAGGTGGGAGGGAGGGAGTGGGATGAGGATTGAAAAAACTGGTTGTTCGGTATAATGTTCACTATTCAAGTGATGGGTATACTAAAAGCCCAGACTTCAGCACTACCCAATATATTCATGTAAGAAAATTTTACTTATACTCTTTAAATGTATAAAAATTATATTTTTTAAGTGCACCCAGGAGTATGACTACAATAAATGCCTTCTGGTTGGGGCAGATAACATTAGTGAATGCAGCAAGTAGATTGAGGACAGTAGAGCAAGATGAGAAATAAAAGTAAATAGACTGAGTCTCATTTATAGAGATCACCACTGCTCAGTTCCAGCTGATTGGTGGCACTGGCTTTTTAATATTCTGATTGTTCAGGAGAAACCAAAAAGTCTAGAAGAACCAGAAGTGAAGTCTCTCCATTTTAAATGCTAGCAAATAATTTTATCCTATAAAAAATTATGTGTGCCAAATGAAATGTGTCTTTTGGCTGGATTTGGCTCAATGGTCACTCACTTTCAACTTCTGACTTAGAATTCCATATTAAAATAAATAACAAGAGGATAAAATTAATTAAAATAGAAGATTTGTTATTACTCATTATCATCACCAAGAGAAATCACTGGTCTCCAAGCATGTTTCTTTCCCAGAACACATTCCCTTTCTCTTTCTTGCCTATGACATTCCCCCAGACTTTCACAGGGCCCACTACTTCCCTAGCCTCTGCTCAAGTGTCTCATCCTGAGAAAGCCTTTCCTTAATTGCTTCTTTAAAATGAAACTGCTATACTCTACCCATTCGCCTTGCATGTATCACTTCATGCCATGTATTCTACAAATATATTGAGCATCTACTTCATGAAGAGCTCTCTTTTAAGCCCTGGGGATATAGAGGTGGATAAATAAAATCAAAGTCCTTATCCTCATAGAGTATGCAGTCCACTGGGGAAAGAGAGACTATAAACAAGCAAGTACACAATATGTTAGGTGGTAATATGCTCTAGGGAGAAAAGTAAAGCTGGGTAAAGAAGATAAGAAGTGCAGTGAGGGAGGAGGCAGAGCAAGATGGCTGAATAGAATCCTCCACTAATTGTCCTCCCCAAAGGAACATCAAATTGAACAACTATCCTCACAAAAAATGCACCTTCATAAAAAACAAAAATCAGGTGTGTGCACACAGTACCTGGTTTTAACTTTATATTACTGAAAAATGCACTAAAGAAGGTAGGAAAGACAGTCTTGAATTGCCCATGCCACCCCTTCCCAGTTCTCTAGTGGCAACCACATGCAAAGAAGTAATATGTGCATTTGAGGGAGGAAAACACAGTGATTGTGAGACTTTGCATTGGAACTCAGTGCTGCCTGTCACAGCTGAAAGCAACACCAGGCAGAACTTGTTGGAACTCACATGCAGGGCATTTAGATCAGCCTTAGCCAGAGGAAAATTGCCCATCCCAGTGGTTGGAACCTGAGTTACAGCAAGCCCTACCACTGCAGGCTAAAGTGCTCTGGGGTTCTAAATAAGGAAAGGCAGTCTAGGCCACAAGGACTGCAATTCCTGGACAAGTCCTAGTACTGTGCTGGGCTTGGAGCCAGTGGATTTAAGATGTATACGATCCAGTGAGACACCGGGTGGGGTGGCAAATGGAGTGCTTTTTTCATCCCTCCTCCAACCCTAGAAAACACAGCTTGCAGCTCTGAGACAGATTCTTCCCTCTGCCTAAAGAGAGGTGAGGGGAGAGTTAAGAAGACTTTGCTTTACAACTTGGATACCAGCTCAGCCACAGTAGGATAGGGCAATCAGTAGGATAGGCAGCATCCTGAGACCCCCACTCCAGGCCCTAGCTTCTGGATGACATTTCTATACACATCCTTAGCAGGAAGGTAACCCACTTCCTTGAAGGGAAGGACCCAGTTCTAGCAGGATTCATTATCTGCTGAATAAAGATTCCTTAGGCTTATAATAATCAGCAGTAGCAGCCAAGTGGTGCTCACCAGGGACATTGAGTGAGACTCACAGATGTGCTAGCATCAGATGTGAACCAGCACATTCCCAGCTCAAGTGGCTACAGGGAGAGACCCCTTCTGCTTGAGAAAAAGAGAGGGAAGAGTAAAGAGGATTTTGTCTTTCAGCTTAGGATCCAGCTCAGCCACAGTGGGGTAGAGCACCAAACAGGCTTTTTGGGTACCTGATTTCAGGTCTGAGCTCTTGGACAGCATTTCTGGACCTTCTGTGGGACAGAGAGGAGCCCACTGCCCTGAAAGGAGAATCCTAGGCCTGGCGGCATTTACCACAAGCTGACTGAAGAGGCCTTGGGCCTTGAGGGAACACCAGTAGTAGCCAAGCAGTACTTGATGTAACCCTGAAGCAGTGATGGGGAAAAGTTCTTCTGCCACTACAAAGAGGGGAGGAGGAAGAGTGGGAAAAACTTTGCCTTGTGGCCTGGGTGCCAGCTTAGCCAGAGTAGAATAGAGTACCAGATAGTGGAAGTAGAGATGGGAAGAATGCTGGTAATCATGCATATTGAAAAGTGCAGTTTTTCACATATTAGTGACTGCTGAGAGGAACAGACAACCAATAGACACAGGTAGAAGGAAGATAAACCTGCAATACTGCAGAGGTGTTCCTGAAAAAACTTAACAGATTTTGAAATATGAACTAAAAAGAATGAACTGAATTAACCTGCTCCTTGTGAACCTAAGGAAAAAAAATTAACCCCCACTCATGAACAGGAGAAAGATCAAGAGCAATCATTCATCCAGTATTCTTTTTCTTTTTCTTTTTTTGGAAACAGGGTCTCATTCTGTTGCACAGGCTGGAGTGCAGTGGCACAATCATAGCTCACTGCAGCCTCAAACTCCTGGGCTCAAGTTATCCTCCCATCTCATCCTCCTGAGTAGAGCTGAACTACAGATGCACACCACCACACTGGCTATTTTTTTTTTTTTTTTTGAGAGATGGGGATTTACTTTATGGCCAAGGCTCATCTCAAACTCCTGGGCTCAAGTGATACTCCTGTCTCATATTCTAACAAAATCTGTGTTTTAATAAATATCATAATATTCAATGCCATGGAACATGAAAGAAAAAAAATACCGCATAGTAAAGTAGAAGAATAAGCATTTGGAGACTTAAAGGAAGCATATGTCTGAAAAAGATCTACTGAAAGATCTGGAAGAAGAGTTAAGGAAATTATTCAGAGTGTGTGTGTGTGTGTGTGTGTGTGTGTGTGTGTGTGTGTGTGTGTGTATGTGTAAAATATATATATATATATCCCCTGTGAATCAAGAGCAATATATTCAAAACACAGATATTTATCAGCTATCAAAAATAAACATAGTTAATACTAAAAGCAGTCAAATAGTAGGAGTGAACTTTATTTTGATGGAGACGTTTTCCCCCCAATGTAAGTGACCTGGGTTTGGTTGATAGTAGATAATCCATTGTGAAAGTGCAATCATTTTATCAATTGAGTACTAAATTATCATTCTGCTTCCAGTGTAACTGTGACACCTATTTTATTTCACAATTGCTATCTTGTCACCAATCCTAGCCATTGCTTATTTTTATCTTCTTCCATAAAAAAAGAACATAACATTTAAGATGTATGCCATTCGTTCTTTTCTCAGTGCCCTTTGAACACAGTCTCATAGCAACACAAAACGTGTACCTTATTTTATTATGCTGGTTTGATAATCAACCACCCTACTATACACACTCTCATCTCTGAAGCAAGAGCACATATTTTATTTTGGAACTTCAATGTCTAGTGTAGTATCTGGCATATAGTATGTAATCAACAATGTAAGTTGAATTAATCATAATTTAAGAACGTTAATCACAAAAATGTTTTACACACTGGAAGAGTTCTGTTACTATGTAAAGTGGCATTTGCTTTGAAATTTAGACTGAAATAAAAATAGATTTTGAAAGAGTTTGTAAAGTAAATCTACTCCAAAATACCTCTTCTACCATTCCTCAAAATCATGTTCTTGATCAAAATAAAATCCTTTTGGAAATCAACCATGTCATCAAGAAAACCTGTCCAAGAGTTCAGGTTAAATTTGTGCTGTCTCAGAAATAGCAGTCAGCCTTCATAAAAGGCACTGCCGACATATGTAATGGAAGTAAGAAACTGCAGATTGATGCCTTTGAGCTAAGAAATTAATTGAATGCACTTCTGTGTTCTCCCTGATTCACTGGATAGAGCTAATAACTTACAAGATAAGAAAACATATGGCCACCAGAAAAAAGAAAGCCATGGTTACCAATGCTTCTGGTAAAGGTCCTGTGGTATATAGAATAAATTTAAGTGGCTCAAGGAAGAATATGAAATGAGATTAATCTCTTGAGAGTAAATTTAAGAAATCCTTTACAAGATATACATGTTTTCCTTCACAAAACTAAATCAAACTTCAGCCTCTTACAATATCTTAAGTTGACCATATCTAATTGTCCAAAAACTATTGCCAGACATCTTGCTGTTGTTCCACAAAGTGATGGAATTGTATGAAGCGACCCCATATACCTTCAAATCAGATGCTCATAGTGCAGGATGACAAGATAACATACATATGATGCATGCAGGGACAGGGAATGTTTCAATCCCAAACAAAATAATCACAGTGCAAAGAAATTAAGACAGCTTCTGGTCAGATGACTTTAGCATACTTTCCTCCATTTCCAGCAATTAGGCCTCAGACCCTGATATGGTTTGGCTCTGTCTCCTCACCCAAATCTCACGTTGAATTGTTATTCCCAGTGTTGGGGGAGGGACCTGGTGGGAGGTGTTTGGATCATGGGGTGAATACACCCTCTGCTGTTCTCATAATACTGGGTGAGCTTTCATGAGGTCTGATGTTTTAAAAGTGTACGGCACTTCCTCCTTTGCTCTCTCTTTCCTGTCACCATGGGAAGAAGCTTCTTGCTTCCCCTCCACCTTCCTCCATGATTGTATGTTCCTTGAGGCCTCCCTAGCCATGCCTGCTGTACAGCCTGTAGAGCTGTGAGTCAATTAAACCTCTTTTCATTCATAAATTTCCCAGTCTCAGATAGTACTTAATAGCAGTGTGAGAACAGACGAATACAGATTGATATGATTTGGCTCTGTGTCCCCAACCAAATCTCATCTCGAATTGTAATCGCCACATGTCACTGGAGGGGCCTGCAGGAGGTGATTGAATCATAGGGGCACACTTCCCCCTTGCTGTTTCTGTGTTAGTGAGTTCTCACAAGAGTTGTTTGAAAGTGTATGGCACTTTCCCTTTGTGCTCTCTCTCTCTTGCTCTACCATTGTAAGACATGCTTGCATCCCCTTTGCCCTTCTGCCATGATTGTAATTTTCCTAAGGCCTCCCAGTCACGTTCCTGTTAAGCATGAAGAACTGTGAATCAATTAAACCTCTTTTTTCATACATTACTCAGTCTCAGGTAGTTCTTTATAGCAGTGAATAAACAGACACACACTTGAGAATCTGCAGTATCTATAATCCCTAAGCTAAAAGTGGTGTAATTTACGATATAAAGCAGAGAATAAATTCTTATGAATATAATAATATTTTCTCAATTCTCTCTGTATTCATTTTCCTTAAATGTATGCTTTTCATATTTACTCTATTTTCTTCCCCTCTGTGCCCCCACCTTGATCTCCACTTTCTAAAAACCTATTCAGGGGCATTTATTGAGAATCTACTATACTCCTCTATACATTGAAGATAAAATGTTAAATTCTCTAAAAGACAAGGAAACATGCCTTCCCTGGTATACAAGGTGTTCCTGACAATCAGAGAACCTAAGAAATGAAGACTTTCACATTATGTAATAAAACAAAAAACTTGAAGAATTTTATGAACTAAGTAAACCACAAGCTATTAGAGTTTAAAAAAAAAGAGAGAGAAGATGGAAAAACTTGTTAAGAAATAAAAAGGAGGATACCAAAGGAAATTAAAATAATAGGCACAATTTTATGTTAGTAAATTATAAAATTTCAATAAAGTAGACGATATTCTGGAAAAGAAAACTACTCAAAGTAGATGAATCCTAATCCTAACAATAATAGTATTGGGTGATTTTGAAAAAATTGTCAGAAGCTAAATTCCAAGAAAGTTGTCATAAACAAGCAATTCCAAACGGCCAATAGTGCAAACTTCCTTGGAAGAGATCATTTCCCTACTTTGCAAATTATTAGAGAATAAAAAATGTGCATGGTTCCCAAATCACACTCTAAAGATGCATAGCCATGATACAAAAAAGTTATAAAAATCAAATAATAATTAAAAAAGAGAAAAAATGATAGTTTCACTACAAGAAGTAAAATTATCTCAAAGACACCATTTATAAAATTAATGTGCAAACTATAAGCTGGTAGCAATATTTGGTAGATATATGAGACAAATATAGTGGCTATTTAAAAAAAAAAAAAACTTTAACATGGTTAGGCAGTACCAAAATGATCTATGCCCTCAACCAAGTCATAGAAAGCAGAATTTCTCTTCCCCAAGTTTGGTCATAGAAACTTGAATCCATTTGCCCCAAAGCAAACCATAAAACAACACACACACACACACACAAAAGTCACCCTCTTCTTTCTCTTTTCTCCCTTGAAGACTCTCTCTCCAGAAGGGTCCTTCCCCAAACCTGGGAGGAATGAATGGTACCCAGAGAGGACGAGAGAAATCTGAATAGACCTTGCTGGGTTTCCCCTCTCAGTTTATTACCATTAGCTTTTACCTTTTAGTCCAGTCACATTTCTGCAAGGCTGTCCATTCTTCAACAAACCCAAGCATAAAAATTGACTGTTTTTCCTGAGTCTTTCATTCTTCATGTCTGAAGGCTCCCATATTACATAAAACCTTCAAAAATACATTTGTTATGCTTTTTTCTTGTTAACCTATTTTTTGTTACAGGAGTGTCAACCATGCCTCTTATGGTGAGTGAGGAAAAGTATCACACCTTACAGTAGCGATACAATAATAATACGTTTTTTTTTTTTTTTGAGACGGAGTCTCAGTCTGTCACCCACGCTGAAGTGCAGTGGCAAGATCTCCACCTCCCGGGTTCAAGTGATTCTCCTCCCTCAGCCTCCTGAGTAGCTGGGACTACAGGCGCCCACCACCACACCCAGATAATATTTTTTTTGTATCTTTAGTTGAGACGGGGTTCCACCATATTGGCCAGGCTGGTCTTGAACTCCTGACCTTGTGATCCGCCCACCTTGGCCTCCCAAAGTGCTGGGATTACAGGTGTGAGCCACCATGCCCAGCCAATAATAAGAGATTTAATTTGAGAAGTGAAATAAAAGGCATTCTAATACTTGAGAGAATTGTGGTATTTCCTCCTGGACTCATACATGAAGGGTTCACTGTTATCTTTCAGGAATAATTGAGGAAAAGTTTTATACTAGAGCCAAAGGAGTTAACCAGATTACTTGTAAAAAGACATTTCTGTTCCACTGTTCTGAATATCTGAACTTTTCCTACCCTTATTTTAAAGTTTCTCTAGCACCAGTGCAGTGGTGTATGCCTTTAGTCCCAGCTACTCAGGAGGCTGAGGCAGGAGGATTGCTCAAGCCTAGGTGTTCTGAGCTGTAGTGAGCTATGCTGATCGGGTGTCTACACTAAGTTTGGCATCAATATGGTGACCTCCTGGCAGCAGGGAACCACCAGGTTGCCTAAAGAGGGGTGAACCAGCCCTAGTCAGAAATGGAGTAGGTCAAAACTTCATTGCTGATCAGTAGTAGGATTGTGCCTGTGAATAGCCACTGCACTCCAGCCTGGGCAACATAGTTAACGAAGTCTCTGAAAAAAATAAAATACTAATAAATAAATAAAGAACGTTTTTCTAGCTT